>NC_000017.11:3975959-4127474 GCF_000001405.40 Homo sapiens
GACAGGGGTTTAAGTCTCAGAGAGGGGCTGGGATTTGCCGATGCCACACAGTAGGTTGGGCTCTCCCTGGCTCTGTACTACCTTCTTCCCTGCCACAGTGTCGGGCACAAATACATAGTGCCAGTCTTGTGCTGCACCTACCAGCAGGGGAGAGGGCTCCAGCTGTCCTAGCCCAAGCCTGACCAGTCTGCCTGCACGGCCTCAGCTGGAAGTGGGTTGTTAGTGCATAAGACACAAAATCCCTGTTTGCCTTGTAAATTGTTACACCCCACCGAGCTTGCAAGCCTTAAGGCACAACTGGAAAAGGCATTTTGAGATCTGGGACTTGCTCCCTGGTATGGGGAAGAGGCTGTTGGCTTGGGGGTGCCTGAGGGCAAGTCGTCAGGCCCTGAACCTGGAGGGCCAGCCTGACTCCTGTGTGCAGGGGCTGGGGGGTGGGGCTGCGGCTTCACCTCAGGGGGTGCTCCCAGGCCTGGGGCTGGGTTAGGGTGGCTGGGCAAGTCCTCACGCTGGGCTGGGTTCTCCCGGGTACCACCCTAGCTGTGGGAGTCTGGGAACACCCCTTCCCCTCTGAACGCAGGGTCGCTGTGAAGTGGGGGTGGGACAGCGTCTGGAGGTTGCAGGGTCCCCGGCCGCGAGGATAAAGCGGCAGGAGACCGGGGCCCTGGCCTTGGCTCTCAGGCTCTATTTGTAGGTGCACAGCGTTCCCTGCCCCCACTGCCTGTAGTCCTGGTTTCCATAACAACCCTGGACTGTTCTTGACCCCTGAGGCTCAGCTGTTCTGACTTTCCCTCCTGGATGCCCTTCTGGGTCTTCTCGTTCGGCAGTGCCAGGTCTCCGCCCTGGTGTTCCCTGCGTGGGCAGCCAGCCCAGCTCCCTGGGGATATCCTGTCACTGTGGCCCAGAGCCTAGGCCCGGCGTCTGCCAGGTCAGGCCTAAGCGCTCTGGGTTCTTTCCAGGTCCTCAGATGGGGCCCGGGAACCCAGAGAGGTGGAGGAAGTTGGCAGCGGCACCCAGATCCCCAGCGTGGCAGGGCTGGGCACTATGTCCAAACCACCTGACGCCTGGGCTGCAGCCAACCTCTGCGGCAGACGCACAGGTGGGGCTCTCGGATCCATAGCTGGGCCTGTGGGTGACCTTGGCATGCCCTCTATCTCTCTACGCTGACTCCCTGAAGCCATAACTTACGGCACACCCAGCGCAGGCCCAGTGGACCCAGGGGATCTGCAGGGCAGGTGAGCGTGGTCATTCCCAGAGTGGCTATTGGGTGCTGGGAGTTGCTGGGCCTCGAGCTGCTGTCTGGACACAGTGGGGGCTCAGGGTGGGAGGGAGCTTCAGTTAGGCTCTGTCCCCTGGCTTCCAAAAACCAGACTCCAGGAAAATGTTCAAATTTGCAAGTTGGCGTCCACGTGTCTTTAATTCCCTGGACCCACATCCCCTCATTTGCATACCCAAATCAGCCCACGCCCTCCTGGGTCAGCCCACCCCAAAAGCAGCACTTCCAAAGGCAGCTGCTGGGGCCGATGGAAGGATGGGACCAGGAGAGGGTCTGCCCTTGGCCCTCGCAGCCCTCTCCACTGTGAGGGTGTCAAGTAACCGTGGTTCACACGAACTGCATCCTGGCTGATGGAGGCACGGGGCTAAGTGCATTGCTTCATCCTCAGAAGCAGCCTCAGAGTGGTGCTATTACACCCAGTGAAACAAGGGCCACACGACCAGTATATGGGACAGCAGAGATTTCCTGCAGGTCATGTGGCCCCAGAGCCCAGGCTCGTAACCTCTGTGCTGGACAGAAAGAGTGCTGGAGTTTTTGTCCCTGGTCGCCAGGCAGTGCAAGTTCTAACTCAAAGCCCCTGCTCCCGAGCACTGAGTTAGATAGTCCTGAAGATGGGCCTGGAGCCTCTTTGGCCCCCAACATGCCCTCAGTACCCTCTCCAAGGTCCCCGAGGTACCTGCCAGTCACCCTCGGCTAGGTTAAGGACTCCACCTGAGAAGTCCGTTGGCTTCAGTCTTAGCTCTACTGCGTGACCTTAGAGGAGCGGCTCCACCTCTCTGAACCTCAGTTTTCTCACTGTGAAGTGGGAAGCACGGCGGTCCCAGTCCTACAGGGTCATTATGAGTGCCACCTGAGATGGCGGACATAGGGGCCGGGTACTGTGGCTCACACCTGTAATCCCAGCACTTTGGGAGGCCGAGGCGGGCGGATCACCTGAGGTCAGGAGTTCGAGACCAGCCTGGCCAACATGGTGAACCCTCGTCTCTACTAAAAAATACAACAAATATTAGCCAGTCATGGTGGTGGGCGCCTGTAATCCCAGCTACTCGGGAGGCTGAGGCAGGAGAATCGCTTGAACCCAGGAGGCGGAGGTTGCAGTGAGACAAGATCATGCCACTGCACTCCAGCCTGGTGACAGAGCAAGACTCCGTCTTCAATTAAAAAAAAAAAGAAAGTGGACATAGAGTGGCCAGCATGGGCCCACTGGGCTGCTGATTCTCACAGTGCCCACCTTTTTCTTGCATCCACTTCCAGGGACCCAGCCTGTTTCGGGCCTCTGTTCCCCAGGACACTCCCGCTCTGATCAGACTGTCTGTGACCTGAGCAGGAAGCTAGCCAAAGGCAATACCCACCCAGATCCTGGAGGCAAGAGGCCAACAGGCGGGAACAAAGATTTTTCCATGGTTCCACTGTTAATGAGGAACTGACACACTCCAGGGCCTCAACTGGTCTTTCACCCTCCTCTCCTTCCCCAAATTTCCATCATTGGTGATATTTACATTGGAATTATGCCCAGGACTTCAGGAACCCAGCATGGGTAAGTGGAAAACAATGCAAAAGAAAAGAGGCGTATTTTTAAAGGCAGTGTTGGCAAGTTTAAACTCTTGGTTTTAAAGCATATTACAAAACAGTGAGCATCAGAACCAAATGGTTATGTGTTTAAATCAATTCAGCAGGGCTTCTGTCAATTGCAAGGCACTGCTGAAGTGCAAAGATGAAGATAATGATGAAGATGAAGAGAGGGAAGAACCTCTCTTCCCTCAAGAGGTTCACAGTCTGGGGTGGTATATAAGCAGCAGGTACCTAGTCATGTGTGGTAGCTAAGAGCACCCTCTATGGGGACAGATCTCGGATGAGATCCTTGCCAGTTATGAGCTGTGTGATCTTGGGCAAGTTACAAAGTATCTGTGAGTCTCAGTTTCATCATCTGTAAAATGGAAAGAATAATAGGCCTCACCTCAGTGGGCTTTGTGAGTTTGAGAAGATACATGGCAGCGGTAGCTGGCTGCCCAACAGAGATGACAGCCCTTTTGCTAATGGAAGCCTGAATTTGCTCCAGGTAGCAAAAGTGCCAGGCCCGGTGGATGAATCATGAGTGGGCTAACCCATTGACAGCGATGCCCTTCTCTTTGCTGGATACTGGCTTTCCCAGCATCCCTGGCAGCTAAGGGTGGTCATGTGACCCACCTCTGGCCAATGAGTTATAAGAGGAAGTCTGCTGAGCTTCCTGAATAAAATACAGAGGAGGAAGCCTTTGCTTTCCCTACTCCCTGCCTGTGATGAGCTTATGATGCTGGAATTGCAGCAGCTGTTTTGTGCCCATGAGGCCTCCATCTTGAGGATGTAAAACCCAACAATGAGGACGGCGGAGCAGGAAGATGGGGGCATTGCTGAGCTGCAGAGTAGCCCGAGATGACTAACTCCCAGACTTCTTGTTCTGAGAGATTATCTTTATTTATTTATTTATTTTTCTAATTTTGATACAGGGTCTCGCTCTGTCTCCCAGGCTGCAGTACAGTGGCACAATCTTGGCTCACTGCAACCTACACCTCCTGGCCTCTAGCAGTCCTCCTGCCTCGGCCTCCCAAAGTGCTGTGATGACAGGCATGAGCGCCTGTGCCCGGCCAAGAGATGATCTTAAAAGCCTTTATTGGCTGGGCGTGGTGGCTCATGCCTGTCATCCCAGCACTTTGGGAGGACGAGGCAGGTGAATCATGAGGTGAGGAGTTTGAGACCAGCCTGGCCAACATGGTGAAACCCCATCTCTACTAAAAATACAAAAAATTACCTAGGTATAGTGGCAGGCACCTGTAATCCCAGCTACTCAGGAGGCAGAGGCAGGAGAATCGCTTGAACCTGGGAGGTGGAGGTTGCAGTGAGCTGAGATCGCGCCACTGTACTCCAGCCCAGGTGACAGAGTGAGACTCCATCTCAAAAAAAAAAAAAAAAAAAAAGCCTTTACTATTCAAAGCAATTGGGTTCTTGGTGGTCTGCTCCTTCCAGCTGAATTCACCGGAGTGCGATAGGCCCTCAGCACCATGCTTGGCACATGGGAAATGCTCACTAAATGCCAGCTGTGGCATCATAGAGAGGTCTCAGCATAGTCGCCTTTATCTCTATGCTCAGTAGGTAGAGAAGAAGCGAGGAGAGAAGAGTCTGAGGGGTGGGTGACTCCACCTGCCGTCTCCCTCCGTGGGTGGGTGTGATGGAGTCATGGTTCCGCTGTCCCTTCATCCCTCAGGACCTCGGAGGGTAGAGACGGCTTTGGGTGTAGGATCCACTGGGGAAACCAAAACCTGCCAGGCCCAGCGAGGCTGGTGCAACCGGCAGGTGCCGGCATCGTGCCCTTACCTCTTCCTGGAGGTTTCAAGGGTAATTCTGCGCATTCCCGGGCCTCATGCTGCGACTCTGGAGTGGTGGAAGGAACACAGCTTGGTGTCGTGTTTGAATCAGAATTGCCAGAGGTGCTCATTTCCCCAGCTGGATGGAGCAGCTGAAGGAGAGCTGGCAGATGGAGGGGCTGACCCCACGCCAGAGGTTTCTCACTGAGAACAAAGAAAGGAAAAGGGAGAAACACAGCTCACTTACAGCCTCAGTGATTAATTAGTCTTCATTTATGAACGAACACCGTTTGCTACAAGGAACCCTCCTGTGACTTCATTCAATGTTCTAGCCCAGAGTTAACACAGGCTTGGGAGGGAGAGGACGTCTCAGGAGCTGGCAGCGTTCATATGAAATGTCAGTGGAGGTCAGGTGCCGTGGCTTATGCCTGGAATCCCAGCATTTTGGGAGGCCGAGGCAGGCGGATCACCTGAGGTCAGGAGTTCAAGACCAGCCTGGCCAACATGGTGAAACCCTGTCTGTACTAAAAATACAAAAATTAGCCAGGTGTGGTGGTGGGTGTCTGTAATCCCAGCTACTCGGGAGTCTGAGGCAGGAGAATTGCTTGAACCTGGGAGGCAGAGGTTTCAGGGAGCCAAGATCGCGCCACCGCACTCCAGCCTGGGTGACAGAGTGAGAACCTGTCGTTAAAAAAAAAAAAAAAATGTCAGTGGAGATGGGGCAGGAATGGAACTTACAGTCAAGGATGGAACTCCCTGAGAGGAACACATTCTTGGCCCCTAAGCCTTTCTTTGTAGCTTCCTGGGTTGCAAATATTCCATACTTGTGTTTTGTTATGTTTTGTTTTGTTTTGTTTTGTTTCAAGGAGGTAGAGCTGTTTAGAGGCGGAAGTGAGGAGCACAGGCCCTGCTCTGCATTTGCCTACCTGAGCAACGGGAATAAAGCCGGACTCCGCCTCCCCTGGTGCTGTGTGGCTTCGCGGGCCGAGGCGCTCAGCACTGAGCCCAGGGCCTGTTGGTGAAAAACGCGTCGCTCCAGGCGTCCTAAGCGCCAGTGATGTAGCTCTGCGCTCATGCACGGAAAGGCACCTGAGAGCGCGGACGAGGAATGGGAGGGCCTTGAGCCGTCTCGCCCTGTCTGTGAGGTGCTAATGGACCCAGTGTGCAATGCATCAGACATCTCGGGAGACAGAGAGAGGAATCGCCCAATCCGTCACCCTGGAGAGCTGTCAGGAAAGAGAGTGTGGCTCTGCCCCTCCCCCTGTGAATGACACAAGGGTAGACCCCAGGGTGTTTGACCTGGAAAGGGCCTCTGAGTCACCTCCTCCAACCTCCACCTTGTGCAGGTGGGAGATGAGGTCCGGGGAGGCTGAGGGGCTTCCCAAGTTGACATGCGGGGAGAAGGAGAGAGGAGAAGACTCAGCACTGAAGAGACAGGGAGTGCTTCAGGAAGGAGGCCAGTGAGGGCGAGTGAAGACAACACACACTTGTGTGATGACATTTTCTACAGTAAACACCCAGGGAAAAGCCACAGCATAGGGACCACAAGGGACAGGGGTGCTGCTGCGGCGGCCACACCTTGCTCACCTACGGTGACACCGGGACCTGGCACCAGTTCAAGCAGCGCCCACAGCGGAGGAGCAACCTGGACCCCAGGTGCCCCGGCCGCGGGCTGCGGCTCAGGATAGGAAAGGATCTCCCTCTCGATAAAAGAAGTAGACAGGCCGGGCGCGGCGGCTCACGAGAGGCCTGTGGTGGTTCACACTGTTTTAGGGGGACCCTTCTGCCCAGGGGAAACCTTCCCCAGAGAATCAAGGAGCTGCTGTGGCCGAGACAGCCGCACACGGAGCCTCCTGGGTAGACAGAGCCTGCCTTTCCAGCTGCGGAGCCCCGGCCATTCCTTGCCCTCTCTGGCCTTAGTGACCCTATTAATACAGCTGGGGCTGCACAAGGAGGGTCTCACCAGCCCTTTGAGTCCACTCACTCTAGGGCCTCAGAAATCCCCCCTGGCTGCACCTCTGGCCTCCTCAAGGGCTGCCGGGAACGCCAGGACCCCTGGGGCCACAGCCCCTCCCCTGCTTCCAGCCTCCATGCCTCCACCCAGCCTCCACCCACAGGCCGCCAGCAGCTCTCCTGGTTCACCCTTGGCCCTTTGTGTTTACTGAAGGCCTATGTGAGGGGTGAGTTGGGGAGGCCAGCAGGAAGCTGACCATACTCCTGGGATCTGCCAGAGAAAAAGAAGCCCCTTCAGGTCCAGCAGAGGCTGAGCTTGACGTGGTGGACGAGTCGGGTCTCTTTCCATTGCAAGGGGGCAGAAGCCTGATTCAAATGGGCTGAAGCACAAGGGGAAAATCGTCGGCTCATTTCACTGAAAAGTCCAGGGGATGGATGGCTTCAGGAAAGGCAGGATCAAGGGCTCACAAGTGACATCTTTAAGAATTCACCTCTCAGCTGGGTGCAGTGGTTCCTGCCTGTAATCCTAGCACTTTGGGAGTCTGAGGCAGGAGGATTGCTTGAGCCCAGGAGTTCAAGACCAGCTTGGGCAACATAGTAAGACCCCCGTCTCTACAAAAAAGAAAAAAATTAGCCAGGCATGGTGGCGCATGCCTGTAGTCCCAGTTACTCAGAAGGCTGGGGTGGAAGGATCACTTGAGCCTGGGAGGTTGAGGCTGCAGTGAGCTGAGATCTGTTTCCTCTGTGGTGGCATTCTCGCCTCATGATGGTAACATGGCTGCCAGCAGCCACACCCAACATCCCACTTGAGTGCCCCCCAACCAGGAGATTCTCTTTGCCAATGGTTTAATCAAAAGCATTTGATTTGAGGCCGGGCACAGTGGCTCATGCCTGTAATCCCCACACTTTGGGAGGCTGAGGTGGGCGGATCACCTGAGGTCAGAAGTTCAAGACCAGCCTGGCCAACATGGTGAAACCCCGTCTCTACTACAAATACAAAATTAGCCAGGCGTAGTGGTGCATGCCTGTAATCCCAGCAACTTGGGAGGCTGAGGCAGGAGAATTGCTTGAACTGGGGAGGTGCAGGTTGCAGTGAGCCGAGATCACGCCATTGCACTCCAGCCTGAAGAGTGAAACTCCATCTCAAAAACAAACAAACAAACAAACAAACAAACAAACAAAAAAATCCTTTGATTTGAGCCTCCTAATGGGCTCTCACGGGATATGGGTTCTGTTCCCATTTCTGGACCAATCCCTGCAATGCTCCAGTTGGTTACATGGAGTCATGTGGTCTGAAGTCACTGCAGGAGGTCGGGGGAGGAGGGCTCCCCAAAAGACAGTCAAGATGCAGACATTGGAAGAAGAGGTGCTGGGCAGGCAGGAGCGCAGACGGCCACCGCTGCTGGCAGGGAGCATGCTGGGTCAGGGACCTCCTTCTGGGGGTACCAAGTGGAGCCCAGCTCTGTATGAGCTGCGGTGAATTCCAGAGAGGAGCAAAATGAGCCACCCAGTGCCTGGTCCCAGGCCAGCCCCAAGCGCCAAGTAGCATCCACAGCTGTGGCGGCTGTGGGAGGCGGCTTATGGCCCAGGGTGTGCGCTGAGTGCACAGCAACCCAGAGACTCAGCCTCTCGGACGACGAAGGGGCTGGGAAAGGGCCCGTGGCCTCAGCAGACAAGTCCCTCCTGGGTGGCTGGGAGATTCTTAAGGGAAATGCCATTTGATCTGTATTCTTAGAAACAGGAAGTAGCAGCTTCCTGTAAGCAAACTGACCTCATCCCCAAGCCCTGGGATGGCCCCTGGGTCCAACCACTTCCAAAGGGATGTGGCTACCTCTCACTCAGGGAAGCATCATGAGCCAATCCACACTTATTTATTTATTTATTTATTTATTTATTTATTTATTTATTTATTTGATATGGAGACTCGCTCTGTCGCCAAGGCTGGAGTGGAGTGGTGTGATCTCGGCTTACTGCCACCTCCGCCTCCTGGGTTCAAGCAATTCTCCTGCCCCAGCCCCCCCAGTAGCTGGGATTACAGTCTTGTGCCATGATGCCCAGCTAATTTTTTGTATTTTTAGTAGAGACGGGGTTTCGCCATGTTGGCCAGGCTGGTCTCGAACTCCTGACCTCAGGTGATCCACCCGCCTTGGCTTCCCAAAGTGCTGGGATTACAGGCGTGAGCCACCGCACCCGGCCTCTCTGTTTACACTTCCATTCTCAAAGTGAATCATCATCCATTTAAATAAAGGTGTCCTTCATCACAGGTCCTTGGTAAGGGAGTACTGGCTGTGTGTCATAAGCTTTATCTACTGAATCTTCTCTGATTCTGATGCCTCCTATGTGCTAACACCTCCCATGTGCTCATCCCATTCATGCGCTCATCCTTTCTATGTGCTCATCCCTCCCAAGTGCTAAGACCTCCCATGCGCTCATCCCTCCCATGTGCTCATCCCTTCCAAGCACTCATCCCTCCCAAGTGCTAACACCTCCCATGCACTCATCCCTCCCATGTGCTCATCCCTCCCATGTGCTCATCCCTCTCTTGCGCTCATCCCTCCCATGCGCTCATCCCTCCCATGCGCTCATCCCTCCCATGCGCTCATCCCTCTCTTGCGCTCATCCCTCTCTTGCGCTCATCCCTCCCTTGCGCTCATCCCTCCCATGCGCTCATCCCTCCCATGCGCTCATCCCTCCCTTGCGCTCATCCCTCCCATGCGCTCATCCCTCCCAAGCGCTCATCCCTCCCATGCGCTCATCCCTCTCTTGCGCTCATCCCTCCCAAGCGCTCATCCCTCCCTTGCGCTCATCCCTCTCTTGCGCTCATCCCTCCCATGCACTCATCCCTCCCAAGCGCTCATCCCTCCCTTGCGCTCATCCCTCTCTTGCGCTCATCCCTCCCATGCGCGCATCCCTCCCATGCGCTCATCCCTCCCTTGCGCTCATCGCTCCCATGCGCTCATCCCTCCCATGCACTCATGCCAACATCTTCCAGGAGCAAACACCTTCCTGGGGACTATGAAGGACTTTCACTAAATAGCACAGAGCAAAATTTGGAACTACCTCTACCTTCACTTGGATATTGATGGCTCCTTGCTTTGCACCTCTGTCAAGGTCAGAGTCTGGAAGGTGAGGGATGAGGACTGTCCCCAAAGCCTCCCCAAAATTACAGTTCAGAAAGAAATTCTTGCTATTTCTCTGACAGCCTGTCTGACTGGGGGAGCAGGGAGCAGAGGGTCTCTAGCTGGGGGGCGTGGGTGCAGCCCTTGGACCTGGCCCTGACTTGCTAGGTGACTTTGGGGAACTCCCTGGGCTTCAGACACCCTCAGGGCCCCCTCGGGCCCCCTGGCTCTGTGTTGGCAAATTCTTGGCTCCCAGGTGAGCCTGGGTCAAGCCACGGCCTCCCTACCCCAGCCTCCACTGCCACCTCCACCCCGCGGTTCCCATGGCGGCGGCCCGTGGTTCTCTGTTTACTCAGCTCTCTGTGATTTTTCCATAACCGGCCATCGAGAACACAATGCCAGCTTCCCCCCAAGGAGGTGCCGCAGAGCCCACGCCTGTGGCCAAACAGCGGATGTGACTTTCCAGCCGGGGCAGACACTGACACCAGGCATCTCAGACTCCCGTGGTCCCTCCTGGACCAAGACCTCAGCTTTCTGAAAGGGGGTGCAGAAAGCCAGGCTGGCCTGGGGTTCCATCCTCAGAAACATGTGTGAAACCCTGAGCAAGTCGCTTTCCCTCTGAGATGACGATAGGGCTGTGAAATGGGTCGCATCCCGCATGCAATTCTAAAAGCCCACAACCTTGAAGGGCCCGCCTCAGCTCTTCCCAAAGAGGCAGCCCTGCAGCCCCTGCCCCAGCAGCCCCAGACACAAAGGGTCCGGGACTCCGGCAGCGAACATTTCCTGCCAGAGCCGGCTCTGGGCCAAGCACAGCCTGGCCACGCTCAGGTCAAACCAATAGTGTGGCCTTTGCCCTCGGTCTCCTGTCCTGGGCCAGGAGCAGACCTGGGTTAAAACAGCAAGTCACAGATCCGAACCGTCACTGGGTTCTCTACTCCCAAAGGGATACACCCCCATTGGGAACAATCTAACCTGGAAAGAGTGAGAAAGTAAGTGTCATTCAGCATCTCGGGTACCTGCTCCCAGATGTTCCCAGGCACGTGCTGCTCACCCACACCTGGCATGCAGCATGTGCTAAAAATAGCTCCAGTCTGAGCATGCTGCATGACTGAACCCGCTCTATCCCCCTCTGAGGTGTTCCTCCTTTGACTGTCTGGGGACTCAGAGGCTCAGGGAGGTGAAGCAACGTGCCCAAGAGCACACAGCTGTTTGCAATAGATCCAGGACTTGAACACTGATTGAGAGTTGGATTCCTGAATTCATGAACTTGACCCCTACACTATGTTGCCTGGAAATGCTAACTTTTTTTTTGTTTTGAGGTGAGGCATGGGGGGCCAGGAGCTGAGAATCGTTAGCCATAAGCCCCGTGGCCCTCTGAGGGACAGTGTCCCCCAGGACCATCCAAGGTAGGGGTGATAAGGGGCTCCAGGCTTCCTCCTGGCTCTTGTCTCAGCCTCACCCCAAACCCAGCCTCAAGGCTCTTCGCAGAGCTGGCCCTTCCCCTTCGGCCAGTGGCGGACCCCTCCCCTCCCAGCCAGCCTGCCTACCCTGGTGCCCGCGTTTGCAGCTCTCTCCCGCCTTCCCCAGTTTCTTCCCCTCTTGCTTCATCTTTCTGCCCAGCTTCTGCCCATGATATCCCTTTCTCCCAGTCAGCCCCTCCCCACCCTCCCAGACACAAACCATCCATGAACTGGGTCTGGTGTTTAGTGGATCTGTCCTTTCCAGAATGGTGTGAGCGTGTCCTCTCCCCAGGGTTCTCAGGGGACCTGGGAGACGCCTACCCCAGGCGTCTGTTCGGCTCAGACAACTGAATATCCACGCATAAAAGAACAAGTTGGACTTTGGCCAGGTGCAGTGGCTCATGCCTGTAATCCCAGCACTTTGGGAGGCCAAGGTGGGTGGATCACTTGAGGTCAGGAGTTCAAGACCAGCTTGGTCAATATGGTGAAACCTCATCTCTACCAAAAATACAAAAATCAGCCAGGCGTGGTGGCATGCACTTGTAATCCCAGCTACTTAGGAGGCTGAGGCAGGAGAAGCACTTGAACCCAGGAGGCGGAGGTTGTCGTGAGCTGAGATCATGCCAATGCACTCCAGCCTGGGTGACAAGAGTGAGACTCTGTCTCAAAAAAAAAAAAAAAAAAGAACAGTTTGGATTCTTACCTCACACCATATACAAAAATCAACTAAAAATGGATCAAAGAGCTAACACTATCCAACTCTTAGAAGAAAACATGGGGGGCTTGGTACAGTGGCTCACACCTGTAATCCCAGCACTTTGGGAGGCTGAGGTGGGCAGACCACTTGATGCCCAGGAGTTTGAGACCAATATGGCCAACATGGTGAAACCCCATCTCTACCAAAAAAATACAAAAAAAATTAGCCGGGTGTGGTGGCACATACTCATAGTCCCAGCTACTCAGGTGGCTGAGGCAGGAGAATCACTTGCTTGAACCTGGGAGGTGAAGGTTGCAGTGAGCCAAGATTGTGCCACTGCACTCCAGCCTGGTTGACAAAGAGAGACTCTGTTTCAAAAAAAAAAAAAAAAAAAAAGAACAAGAAGAAAGAGAAAACATGGGGTTAAATCTTAATAATCTTTAATTTGACAATGGTTTTTTAGAAAAACACTGAAAGCATGAGCAACAAAAGAAAATATAAACTGGCCTTCATCAACATTAAAAACTTTTGTTCATCAAAGAACACTATGAAGACAGTGAGAAGACAACCCACAGAATGGGGGAAAATCCTTGCAGGGCTGGTTTCCAAAAGTCACAGGATAAATGGTATATGTTATTCAAAGGTTTCTTGGAGAAAACTTTTTTTTGAGACCAGGGTCTTGCTATGTTGCCCAGGCTGGGGTGCAGTGGCTATTCACAGATACAATCATGGCTCACTGCAACTTTGAACCCCCGGCATCAAGCAATCCTCCTGCCTCAGCCTCCTGAATAGGTGGGACTACAGGCATGTGCCTCCACACCAGGCTGAGAAAACATTCTTTACATGTTAAAGCATAATGGTTGAGAATGCAAAATTTACACAAAATGTAGGCTACAGTGGGAGACATTAGGAAGTTTGGAATCTGAAGCCAAGCACTTTCGGGAATGTAAGTTCAACTTTTTGGTATTCTGCCAATGACGGGGCTTGTGTGGGAGAGTTCCCAAAATCTTCAGAGATTCTGTGGATAGAAGGACCCAGAGGGCTGGCTTACTGGGCGGGCCTGGTAGGGAGACCACAGGCAAGGTCACAGGCAAGGTCACAGGCAGATTAGAGGCAAGATCACAGGCAAGGTCACAGGCAAGATCACAGACAAGGTCACAGGCAAGGTCACAGGCAGATCACAGACAAGGTGAGTCACAAGGAGCACACCTGAGGCTTACAGGGCTGAGGACTCTGCAAGGTTAAAATTGGCCTGCCCCATCACCCCATGGACCTCTGGCCTCCCGCTGCACCTGGTTCCTCGCTCACGGAATCGGTTAGGCCTCTTTTGGTTGTAAGTGACAGAAACACAGCTCAGAGTAGTTGAGCAAAAATGGGAAACTCTTGGCTTAAGGGAATGAACAGCCCAGGGCAGCTGGCCTCGGCTTGGCTGTGGCGGGGGACAAGCATCAGTGGACTTTCCTCTTTGCCTGGCTCTCCACAGGCATTGGGGAAGGCCAAGGCTCTCTTCTCCCAACAACCCCAGAAGAGAAAATTCCTGGGACTGCGCCTTGCTGGGCTGACTTGGGTCACACGCCCACCCACGGCCTATCACTGCAGCGAGGGAGTGGAAGGCTCCTACTGGCCGGGCCTCAGTCACAGGCCTGCTCCTTGGAGTGAGCTGCAGGGAGAAGAAAACTTGCAGGGGACGGGTGCAAATGGCAAGAACAACAAGGCTCAAATGACAGTGCTCCTGTAGATACGGGTAGAACGCAACATACAGGCCTGGGTGCTCTGCTCCGTGTAGGGTGGGCGTGAGGCCTGGCCGGGGCCTCGGCCTGCAGGGCCGTGTGGTGGCCCAGGCCCAGTGGGCTGCCCCGGGTCAGGGCTCCGTGAGAAACGGGCAGCTCCTGTTTGTTCCAAACTCCCAGTGCCTCTCAGGCAACCTGGAAAAACACAATTCCCCGAGCAGGAAACCCGCCACATATTCCAGCCTGGAGCCCAGAAAGCCAGACCTTGTGACAATTTAAAAACAAAACTTGAAAATGCCAGCTCTCACAATAGAATGTAAAAAAAAAAACCCTGTATTTTCCTTTTTTATTATATGAGTGCTACATATTTATTGCAGAAAAAATTCAAAATACAGATAAGCAAAGAGATAAAATTTCCCATAATCTCAACACTGGTGATGACCAATTTAATATTTTATTGCAAATTTTGACAGTTTTTTCTCTATAGGCAAAAAAATATTTCTTTCTTACGTAAATGGGATTGTTGGCATTATTTATAACTTGTTTTTCACTCAGTAATACTGGGCGAACATTTTTTTTTTTTTTGAGTCGGAGTCTGGCTGTGTCACCCAGGCTGGAGTGCAGTGGTGTGATCTCAGCTCACTGCAACCTCTGCCTCCTGGGTTCAAACGATTCTCCTACCTCAGCCTCTCGGGTAGCTGGGACTACAGGCACCCACCACCACACCCAGCTAATTTTTGTATTTTTAGTAGAGATGGGGTTTCACCATCTTGGCCAGGCTGGTCTCAAACTCCTGACCTTGTGATTCACCCATCTCAGCCTCCCACAGTGCTGGGATTACAGGCATGAGCCACTGCGCCCAGCCAAACTGGGTGACTATTTTTACACATCAATAAATATACATGTGCAATATAATTTTTAACCACCTACATAGTATTTAGAGGCATTGAATACATTCCGTAATGTGCATGTTTTGAGGGTGTGTAGTGCTGGAACAGACATAGCTCGGCATATTGGCCAATGATTCCAGTCATCTCAAATTCCTAGAAGGGGAGCAGCGAGGGCAAGGGCTCTGACCCTGTTGCCAACGCCACTGCACAGAGTGAACCGAAGAGCTTAGATTCCCTCGCTACCTGCACAGCCGGTGCCTGGTGATCCACGCCGCCCACACTCAGCTTTCTCATTCATTGTCATTCTTGCCAATCTGGTAGGTGAACAATTACTTCTTCTGTTTCCTTCTTCTTCCTCCTACTCCTTCTTCTTCTTTCTTCTCATTTTCCTTCTCCTCCTCCTCTCTCCTCCTTCCTTCCTTCCTTCCTTCCCTCCCTCCCTCCCTGCCTCCCTCCCTCCCTTTTTCTCTTTCTTTCTTTTTCTTTCTTTCCTTCCTTCCTTCCTTCCTTCCTTCCTTTCTTTCCTTCTTTCTTTCTTTCTCTTTCTTTCTCTCCCTCTCTCTCTCTCTCTTTCTTTCTTTTTCTTTTTTTTGAGACAGAGTCTCACTCTGTTGCCCAGGCTGGAGTGCAATGCCACGATCTTGGCTCACTGCATCCTCCGCCTACCAGGTTCAAGTGATTCTCCTGCCTCAGCCTCCCAAGTAGCTGGGATTACAGGCGCCCACCACCTCACCTGCCTAATTTTTGTATTTTTAGTAGAGACGGGGTTTTACCATGTTGGCCAGGCTGGTTTCGAACTCCTGACCTCAGGTGATCCGCCCGCCCACTTTGTAATCCCAAAGTGCTGGGATTACAGGCTTGGACCACCACACCCGGCCTCCTCCTCCTCTTTCTCATGCTCATATTTCTCTTTCTTTGTATCCTCTTTCTCCTTCTCCTCCTCCTCCTGCTCCCATCCCCCTTCCTCTTCCCTTCCTCCTCCTTCCTCTTGTTTTTTTCTTGCGTTTCTCTGATTACTCCTCCAGGTGAACATTTACCATCTGCTTATTGGCCATTTGTATCTTTTCTTTTGGGAATTGTCAGTTTCTGGTTCTTGGCCATTTTTCTGTCGGTGGGTTTATCTTTATTTTATTGATTTACAAGGGCTCCTTGTAGATTATAGAAAATAACCTTTTGTTGTAAATTTTTTCCAGTTTGTCATTTGTCTTCTATTTTTATTTATTATTTATGGATCATTTGTTTTATTAAAATCTTGATTGTGAAAATAACATTTGCTCATTGTTAAGGATTCCAACAATGCAGAGGGATAAGAGGAGGGTAGAAATGCTTTCTCCTCTCTCATCCCGTGCCCAATCCTCAAACAGAACCACTCCACACTGCTCACCTGTGCTATTAGACAGTTTCTTTTCTTTTCTTTCTTTCTCTTTCTTTCTTTCTCTTTATTTCTCTCTCTCTTCTTCCTTCCTTCCTTCCCTTCCCTTCCCTTCCTTCCCTTCCCTTCCCCTTCCTTCCTTTCTTCCTTCCTTCCTTCCTTCCTTCTTTCTTTCTCTCTTTCTTTCTTGAGACAGAGTCTCACTCTGTAGCCCAGGCTGGAGTGCAGTGTCACAATCTCAGCTCACTGCAACCTTCGCCTCCCAGGTTCAAGCAATTCTCATGCCTCAGCCTCTCGAGTAGCTGGGATTACAGGCGTGCGCCACCACACCCAGCTAATTTTTTCTTTTGTTTTTTTTTTGTATTTTTAGTACAGACAGGGTGTCGCCATGTTGGCCAGGCTGGTCTCGAACTCCTGACCTCAGATGATCCACCCGTCTTGGCCGCACCAAGTGCTGGGATTACAGGAGTGAGCCACTGCACCCAGTCAACATTTTCTATGTTTATTCAAAAATAAATATTTATAAATCCATTCGTTCAACTGTCAACCTAAATAACAAACAGGGAGAGGCTGTCTAAAAGGAAAAGATTGCCAGGCACAGTGGCTCATGCCTGCAATGCCAGCACTTTGGGAGGCTGAGGCAGGTGGATTGCTTGAGCCCAGGAATTTGAGACCAGCCTAGACAACATGGCAAAACCCTGTCTCTATAAAAAATACAACAACAACAACAAAAATGAGCTGGCCATGGTGGCGTGCACCTGTAGTCCCAGCTACGTGGGAGGCTGTCCTGGGAGGATCACCTGAGCCCAGGAGGTTGAGGCAGCAGTAAGCCACGATGGCACCACTGCCCTCCGTCTGAATGACAGATCTCAACATTTTTTTTTTTTTTTTGAGATCTTGTCTCGGAAAAAAAAAAAAAAACCCCAAAACCACCAAAACAATAAATAAACAAATAAATAAATAAAAGTAAAAGATATTTATTATTCCCAACTAACTGACACAACTAATATTTGTTAAGTGCCTGTCGAGTCAGGCCCTGTGCTCTAATTTGGGCACAAAATGATGAACAAAACAGATATTGTCTCTGCCACCATGGAGCTTACAGTTTAACAGGGAGATGCTGATACAAAAAAAAAAAAAAAATCCATGTCAGTATATGTACACATTGTGATCAGTGCTGTGAAGAAAGATAATAAAGGGCGCTGTGGAGGACAGCCTCCACGATCCCCCATGATCCCTACCTCCTGGAATTCAAGCCCTTATTTCGTACCTTCCCCTTGTATGGGGGTAGGACTCATTGACTTGATGATCACAGACACTAAAGCAAAAGTGTTGGAGTGTGACCTCTGAGATTGGGTTATAAAAAGACTGTAGCTGGCTGGGCACAGTGGCTCACACCTGTAATCCCAGCACTTTAGGAGGCCAAGGCAGGAGGATTGCTTGAGCCCAAGAATTCAAGACCAGCTTGGACAACATAGGAAGACCCTGACTCTACAAAAAATAAAAAGATTAGCCAGGTGTGGTGGCAGGTACCTGCAGTTCCAGCTACTCAGGAGACTGAGGTGGGAGGATGGCTTGAGCCTGGAAGTTTGAGGCTGCAGTGAGCCATGATTGTGCCACCACACTCCAACCTGGGTGACAGAGACAGAACCTGTCTCAAAAGAAATGACTGTGGCTTCCAGTTTGGGTGGTCTTGCTCTTGGATCACTTGTGCCAGGGGAAGTAAGCTGCCATGTTGTGAGTTGACTTATGGAGAAGCCCATGTGGCATGGCAAAGAACTGAGAGGCCCTCAGTCCAACAGCCTGCGAAACACTGCAGCCTGCAAACCACCATGTGAGTGAACAGATCTGTTAGCTCCAGCCAAGTCTCAATATGACTGCAACTCGTGAGAACCTTGAGCCACTGACGCCCAGCTAAGCTGTGCCTGGATTCCCGGCCCACGGAAACTGAGATAATAAATGTTTGTTGTTACAGGCCACTAAATTTGTAAGTCACTGGGTTTCCCTCTGTAGATCAATTTGGAGAGTACTACCATCTTAACAAATTTAACGCTTCTGATCCACAGATATGGGATGTTACTTTCTGCTTATTTATATATTATCTTTGTTTGCTTCATGTTGCTACAACAGAATACTTGAGAAAGAATAATATATAAAGGAAAGGGGTTTATTTAGCTCACAGTTCTGCAGGCTGGGAAGTTCGAGAAGCATAGCACTGGCATCTGCTCAGCTTCTGGTGAGGGCTTTCCTGCTGCATGAAAATGTGGCAGAAGGTCAAAGGGGAAGCGAGCACATGTGAAGAAACAAAACCTGAGGGCTGTCCTGGCTTTATAACAACCCACTCTCACATTCTCATGAGATGTTTCTTATGAGTGTGGATGCAAAAGTCCTCAACAAAATACTAGCAAGCCAAATATTTGTAAAAGTCCTCAACAAAATACTAACAAACATTTTTATAAATGCCCATGAGAACAAATCCGGTCTCACAAGAGCTAGAACTCACTCACTACCACAAGAATGGCACCAAGGGGCCTGTGAGAGTGGAACCCCCCCATGACCCAAACACCTCTCATTAGACTCCACTTCTTAAAGGTTCTGACATCATTATATTGGCAATTAAGTTTCAATATGAGTTTTGGCAGAGACAAACCACATCCAAGCCATGGCAGATCTTTAATTTCTTCCAACAATGTTTCATGGTTTTCATGCTATAAGTTTTGTACTTCTTTTGATAAATTTATGTCTAAGTATTTTATTCTTTTTGATGCTATTGTTAATAGAATCTTCTTAATTTCATTTTTGGATTCTTTATTGAAAATGTACAGAAATACAATCAATTTTTGTGTATTAATCTTGTATTCTGCAACCTTGCTGAATTTATTAGTGTTACAGTTTAATAGGGGGATGCTGATACCAAAAAATCCATGTCAGTATATGTACACATTGTGATCAATGCTATGAAGAAAGAGAAGAATTGGCACTGGGGAGGGTAGCCTCCAAGATGCCCCCATGAACCCTGCCTCTTGGAATTCAGTAATTTTTTACTGAGTTCCTTAAAATTTTACATATGGAAGATCAGGTTACCTACAAATAGAGATAGTTTTACTTCTTTTCTAAACTGGATGGCTTTTTGCTTCTTTTTCTATCCTAATTGTCCTACCTAGAATCTCCCCTACAATGTTGAATAGAAGTGCTGAGAGTACACATCCTTGTGCTGTTCCTGACTTAGGAAGAAAGCATCCAGCTTTTCATTAGTAAGTTTGATGTTAGTGGGTTTTTTATAAATGCCCTTTGTCAGGTTAAGGAAGCTTCCTTCTATTCCTAGTTTGTTGAGTACTTTTATGATCAAAGGGCTTGGGATCTTGTCAAATGCATTTTCTGCATCGTTTGAGATGGTCACATGGTTTTTTTTCTTATGCTATTGATATGGTGTATTACATTAATTGATCTTTGGATGTTAAGCCAACCTTGCATTCATGTGGTAAATCCCACTTCATCAGGGCTGGGCATGGTGGCTCATGCCTGTAATCTCAACACTTTGGGAGGCTGAGGTGGGTGGATCACTTGAGGTCAGGAGTTTGAGACCAGCCTGGCCAACAAGGTGAAACCCCATCTCTATAAAAATACAAAAAAGGTAGCTGGGCATGATGGTGGACACCTGTTATCCCAGCTACTCGGGAGGCTGAGGCAGGAGAATCACTTGAACCCGGGAGGTGGAGGTTGCAGTGAGCTGAGATTGTGCCACTGTACTTCAGCCTGGGTGACAGAGTGAGACTCTATAAAAAAAAAAAAAAAAGTCTGTTTCATCATGATGTAGAATTCATATGATGTGAATTTGGCTTGCTAGTATTTTGTTGAGGATTTTTGCATCCATATTCATAAGAAACATCAATCTGTAGTTTCCTTTTCTTGTGATGTCTTCATTTGGTTTTGGTGTCAGTGTAATACTGCCCTCATAAAATGAATTGGGAAGTGTTTTCTTCTTTTCTATTTTTTGAACAGTTTGTGAAGAATTGGTATTATTATGTATTTTATTTATTTATTTATTTTGAGATGGAGTCTTGCTCTGTTGCCCAGGCTGGAGTGCAGTGGCACGATCTCAGCTCACTGCAACCTCCTCCTCCTGGGCTCAAGCAATTCTCCTGCCTCAACCTCCCAATTAGCTGAGATTACAGGCACCTGCCACCATGCCTGGCTGATTTTTTGTATTTTTTGTAGAGACAGGGTTTCACCATGTTGGCCAGGCTGGTCTCAAACTCCTGACCTCAAGTGATCTGCCCGCCTTGGGCTCCCAAAGTGATGGGATTTTAATTATTCTTTAAATGTTTGTTAGAATTTCCCACTGGAGTCATCTGGTCCTGAGCTTTTCTTTGTGGGTAGTGTTGTGATTATCTCTATTTGTTATCTCTATTCAAATTTTGTTTCTTCTTCCATCAGTTTTTGTAGTTTCCACCTTTCTAGAAATTTGTCCACATCATCTAAGTTATCTATTTTGTTGACATGTAATAGTTCATAGTATTCCTTTATAATTTTTTTATTTCTTTGATGTTGGTAGTAATGCTCCTTCTTTCATATCTGATTTTAGTAATTGAAGTTCTCTCTTATTTTCTTGGTCAATGTAGCTAAAGGTTTTCAATTTTGTTGGTCTTTTTATAGAGCCAGCATTTAGTTTCACTAATGTTCTCTATTTTTCTATTCTCTATTTCATTAATTTCCATTCTAATCTTTGTTCTGCTTCCTTTAGGCTTTCTTATTTTGCTCTTCTTTTACCATTGTCTTAAGGTGGAAAGTTAGGTTACTGATTTCAGATCATTATTTTATTGTAGACCTTTACAACTATAAATTTCCCTTCTACTAAAAAGTTCTTCCCTAATAAGTACTACTTTAGTGGTATCCTGTAAGTTTTGATATTTTTGTGTCTTCATTTTCATTCATTTCAAATTATTTTCTAATTTCCCTTTTGGTTCCTTCTTTGAAACATTAGTTATTTAGGAATGTGTTGTTTAATTTCCATATACTTGTGAATCTCTCCAATTTCTTTCAACAGAATAATGATTTCTAATTTCATTCCATTCTGGTTGGAGAACATACTTTGTATTATTTCTTTTAAAATTTATTGGGTTGGGTGTGATGGTTCATACCTATAATACCAGCATTTTGGGAGGCTGAGGTGGGAGTATTGCTTTAGCGGAGGAGTTCAAGACCAGTCCAGGCAATATATTGAGACTCCATCTCTACAAAAAAAAATTAAAATAAACTAAAATATATTGAGGTTTGCTATCGCCTAGAATAGGGTCTGTTCTGGGTAATATTCCATGAGCACTTGAGAAAATGTATATTCTGCTTTTGTTGGGTAGAGTGTTCTATAGACATCCATCAAGTCAAATTGGTTCATAGTGTTGTTTAAGTCTTCAATTTTCATGCTACTTGTGAGACCGAAGTAGGAGGATTGCTTGAGCCCATAAGTTCAAGATCTGCTTGGGCAGCATAGTGAGACTTATTCTAAAATAAATACATAAATGATGTTCAATTTCCTTGTTGATCTCCTGGCTACTTCTTTTTTTTTTTTTTTTTTTCTTTTTTTTTTTTAATTGATCATTCTTGGGTGTTTCTCGCAGAGGGGGATTTGGCAGGGTCATAGGACAATAGTGGAGGGAAGGTCAGCAGATAAACAAGTGAACAAAGGTCTCTGGTTTTCCTAGGCAGAGGACCCTGCGGCCTTCCACAGTGTCTCCTGGCTACTTCTATCCACTACTGAAAGTGGGGTCTTGAGGTCTCCAGCTATCATTGCTGAGTTATCTATTCCCCGCTTCATTTCCGTCAGTTTTTGCTTCATGTGCTTTGGTGCTCTGTTACTAGGTGCATATATATTTATAATTGTTATATTTACCTGATGGATTGACCCTTTTATAATTCTAAAATGTCCCTAGAAGCATTTTTTTTGTTTTAAAGTCTATTTTGTCTGATAAAACTATAGCCACTTCAGCTTTCTTGTGATTGCCCTTTGCATGATATATCTTTTTTTTATTCTTTTGCTTTTCATCTATTTGTGCTTTTAAATCTAAAATGTTTCTCCATGGACAGCATATAGTAGAACCTTGTGTTTTTATTTTTTATTTTTTGAGATGGAGTCTCGCTCTGTCGCCCAGGCTGGAGTGCAGTGGCGCGATCTCGGCTCACTGCAACCTCCACCTCCCGGGTTCACGCCATTCTCCTGCCTCAGCCTCCTGAGTAGCTGGGACTACAGGCACTCGCCACCACACCCGGCTAATTTTTTGTATATTTAGTAGAGATGGGGTTTCACCATGTTAGCCAGGATGGTCTTGATCTCCTGACCTCGTGATCTGCCCGCCTCGGCCTCCTAAAGTGCTGGGATTACAGGCGTGAGCCACCGTGCCTGGTCGAATCTTTTTTTTTATCCAGTACAATAATCTTCCTTTTGATTACATTGTTTAATCCATTTACATTTAATATTATTGGTATAGTTGGATTTATGCCGCCATTTTACTTTTTGTTTTCTATGTCTCAAGTCTTTTCTGTTCCTCATTCTTCCTTCACTGCTTTCCTTTGCATTAAGTGAATATTTTCTAAGGTAGCATTTACATTTCTATGATGATTTTTTTGAAGTATATTTTTGGCATTTTCTTAGTTGTTGATCTAGGGTTTTATATACTTTTTTTTTTTTTTTTGAGACAGCGTCTCACTCTGTCACCCAGGCTGGAAAACAGTGGCATTATCATGGCTCACCACAGACTTGATGTGCTGGGCTTAAGCAATCCTCCTACCTCAGTCGCCCGAGCAGCTGGGACTACAGGCAAGCACCACCATGCCTGGCTAATTTTGTTTATTTTTTATAGAGATGAGGTCTCACTATGTTTCCCAGGCTGGTCTCCAACCCCTGAGCTCAAGCGATTCATCCTCTTGCCTTGGGCTCCTAAAGTGCTGGGATTACAGGCCTGATCCATTGCACCTGGCTATACATTTTAACTTACTAGAATCAGCTTCTGATTTATTTATTTATTTATTTTTGAAATAGAGTCTCGCTCTGTCACCCAGGCTGGAGTACAGTGGCGCAATATCGGCTCACTGCAACCTCTGCCTCCCAGGTTCAAGCAATTCTCCTGTCTCAGCCTCCCAAGTAGCTGGGACTACAGGTGTGTGCCATCATGCCTGGCTAATTTTTGTATTTTTTTTTTAGTAGAGACAGGGTTTTGCCATGTTGGTCAAGCTGGTCTCAAATTCCTGACCTCAGGTGATCCACCTGCCTCAGCCTTCCAAAGTGCTGGGATTACAGGCATGTGCCACCGCGCCCAGCCTCAGCTTAAGATTTATATTAACTTTAATTTTAATGAGATGTAGAAACATGACTCCTATGTAGCTTTTTTCCCTTTCTCTCCTTTTTGTGGCATTGTTGTTATAACTATCACATCTATAAATGTTACAAGCCCAACAATAAGTTGTTATAATCATTACTTTAAATAATTTTATGTTTTCTACAGAAGCTGAGAGAAAAAGGAGAATAAGTATATACAGCTTTTATTATATTAATCCTCTTTTTTAAAAAAATAATTTCTAGGCCGGGCACGGTGGCTCATGCCTGTAATCCCAGCACCTTGGGAGGCCGAGGCGGGGGGATCACTTGAGGTCAGGAGTTTCAGACCAGCCTGGCTAACATGGTGAAACTCCGTCTCTACTAAAAATACGATAGCCAGGTGTGGTGGCGGCGCCTGTAGTCCCAGCTACTTGGGAGGCTGAGGCAGGAGAATGGCGTGAACCCGGGAGGTGGAGGTTGTAGTAAGCCGAGATCGCGCCACTGCACTCCAGCCTGGGCGACAGAGCGAGACTCCGTCTCAAAAAATAAATAAATAAAATAATTTCTAGTTCTCTTCATTTCTTCTCGTGGATTTGAGTGACATCTGGAGTCATTTCCTTAGCCCAGTACAGCTTTGCTCCCACCCACCTTTCTTGTCTTGCTTTTGGTAAATATACTACATTTTATATGTAATAGGCCTAACAATATGTTATATTCATATTTATACAGTTGCTTTTTAAATCAGTTGAGAAGAAAAATGAATTTATACTGTCTTTTATAATTGCATAATTACTTTTACCAGTGCTTTTTGTGGATTCAAATTGCCATCCGGGGTAACTTGCTTTTAGCCTGAAGAACTACCTTTTTTTTTTTGAGACGCAATTTTGCTCTTGTTGCCCAGGCTGGAGTGCAATGGCGTGATCTTGGCTCACTGCAAACTCCATCTCCCAGGTTCAAGCAGTTCTCGTGACTCAGCCTCCCAAGTAGCTGGGATTACAGGCGCCCGCCACCACGCCCGGCTAATTTTTGTATTTTTAGTGGAGATGGGGTTTCACCATGTTAGCCAGGCTGGTCTTGAACTCCTTACCTCAAGTGATCCCCCCCACCTCGGACTCCCAAAGTGCTGGGATTACAGGCGTGAGCCACCATGCCTGGCCTTGCCCAGTTTAATTTTGTCTCAAATTATATTGCCTGATGCTGAATAACTCTGATTTTCTGTTTGCATCTGCTTGATAGACATGTGCTCATTCTTCTGCATTTCACCTTTTTCTGGTCTTAAGATCAGTTGTTTTAAATGTCTGTCTCTCCACTTCTGTTGCAAATTTCTAAACTCACTAGTGGATAAGCTGCCTGCCACATCTGGGGGCATCTTGCCTGGCCGAGTGGTTGAGTGGTCCAGCTGATGTGTTGACGAGGCTCACAGTGGCTGCGTGGGTACTTCTGCCATTGTCATGGATGCTGTGTTGCTCAGCAATTCTGAGGTGACAACACAAACTCATGGGTCTCCCAGGTAGCTTTTAAAACAGTAAATTGGCCGGGTGTGGTGGCTTACACCTGTAATCCCAGCACTTTGGGAGGCCGAGGCGGGTGGATCATGAGATCAGGAGATCGAGACCATCCTGGCTAACATGGTGAAACCCCATCTCTACTAAAAAGACAAAAAATTAGCCAGGTGTGGTGGCAGGCACCTGTAATCCCAGCTACTCGGGAGACTGAGGCAGGAGAATCGCTTGAACCCGGGAGGTGGATGTTTCAGTGAGCCGAGATCGCGCCACTGCACTCCACCCTGGGTGACAGTGAGACTCGGTCTCAAACAAACAAACAAAACAAACAAACAAAAAACAGTAAATTAACTCACGGCTAGAAGATACCAGCCAACAGCTTGGGAAGCCTCACATGAAGAGAGAGTGAGAAGCCCTCTCCACTGGGGAATCAGAGGTGGTCAGTGGCCGCGAGGAAGAGGAGAGAGCCATCACCTGGTGCTTTAATTTTCGCCCTCACCTGCCTGAAAACCCAGGTGGAAGCAGGGCAGGAGAATGAGCGGAGGAGGAAGAGGAGGAAGAGGCAGGATGGAGGGCGGGAGAGAGAGGGAGCCGACATCTTTGAGTCCCTGGAATTTAGCTTTGCCTGGGGCTAGAGGCAACCCTCGGGCTTTTCGGTTTTGTAAGTCAATCCATTTCCGTGTTAAGTTAGTTTGGAGTGTCTTTAACTTGCAACTGAAGAAATCCCAACGAATCCTGGGACAGCGCCTCCAGATAGGAAGTCTAGAAGCTGGTTGGGCATGAGCAAAGCTACGTACGCCAAGAACCCCAAGAGAGAAGGAGAATTTGGTAATGGAGCAACTGGATGCCATCTGTGGCTTGACTGGACACTGTTGGAGGCCTTTTTATTTCTGGAATTTTTACATTTCCTTTCCATATACTGTCCATATTTAATGTCATGAGAAGAGAGCTGTGACATTATTTCAACCTACTGGAGCCAAATTGTTGCATAAAGTTGGGTCAGAAATACTTTCCGCTGAGGTGAGAGGACACCTTGCCACCTCCTGGAGATGGGTAGTTCTAGGGCTCAAACAATGGAATGAAGGAGTCAGACTGTCAGACTCCTGGCTTTCTGCTCCCACCGCCCCAGAGTGTTGGCTTGTCAGCCTCCAGCTGACATCTCGTCTCGGCACAAAGGGAGTGCGTAGGAGCAGGGCTCCTTCCCCAGAGCCTCTGGAGAATGCAGCCATAGAGCCGCCTTGTTACCAGAAAGGGGTCCCAATCCAGACCCCAGAGAGGGTTCTTGAATCTCATGCAAGAAAGAATTTGAGGTGAGTCCACAGAGTAAAGTGAAAACAAGTTTATTCGGAAAGAAATAAAGAATGGCTACTCCAAAGGCAGAGCAGCCTCGAGGTGCCCATTTTTATGGTTACTTCTTTTTATTTATTTGAGACAGTCTCACTCTGTTGCCCAGGCTGGAGTGCAGTAGCGTGATCTTGGCTCGCTGCAACCTCCGCCTCCTGGGTTCAAGTGATTCTGCTGCCTCAGCCTCCCGAGTAGCTGAGATTACAGGCACGCACCACCATGCCTGGCTAATTTTTGTATTTTTAGTAGAGACAGGGTTTCACCATGTTGGCCAGGCTGGTCTCAAACTCCTGACCTCGTGATCCATCTGCCTCAGCCTCCCAAAGTGCTGGAGTTATAGGCATGAGCCACCGTGCCTGGCCTATTTCTTGATTATATGCTAAATAGAGGTGTGTTATTCATGCTTCCCCTTTTTAGACCATATAGGGTTACTTCCTGACATTGACATGCCATTTGTAAACTGTCACAGCGCTGGTAGGAGTGTAGCAATGAGGACAACCAGAGGTCACTCTTGTGGCCATCTGGGTTTTGGTGTTTTGGCCAGCTTCTTTACTGCAACCTGTTTCATCAGCAGGGCCTCTATGACGTGTATCTTGTGCCGACCTCCTATCTCGTCCTGTGACTCAGAATGTCTAACCGTCTGGAAATGCAGCCAGTAGGTCTCAACCTTATTTTACCCAGCCCCTATTCAAAATGGAGTTGCTCTGGTTCAGACACCTCTGACGGCCTCACTGCAAGAAGGGCTGGGACACAGAAGCGAGCTTACTTGGGGTGGGCAGGGGGAGGGAGCAGGGAGGACTTAATCATGACTTTCCTCATGAGCTAGTAGAAAGTCCTACCTTTCTTGAGATTAAACTGTGTAGAGTCACCACCTGCAAAAAATTGGATTTTGTCAGCAGGGAAGGAGGGGAGGGGTAGGAGATGGCAGCTAGGGAAGCGACAGGGCCGTGTTTTATTTATTTTTATTTTTTGAGACAGAGTTTTGCTCTCGTTGCCCAGGCTGGAGTGCAATGGTGCCATCTCAGCTCACCGCAACCTCTGCCTCCCAGGTTCAAGCGATTCTCCTGCCTCAGCCCCCTGAGTTGCTGGGATTACAGGCATGCGCCACCAGGCCTGGCCAAGTTTGTATTTTTAGGAGAGACGGGGTTTCTCCATGTTGGTCAGGCTGGTCTCGAACTCCCGACCTCAGGTGATCCACCCACCTCGACCTCCCTAAGTGTTGGGATTACAGGCGTGAGCCACCACACCTGGCCAGGGCCGTGTTTTGACTTGGCTTCCGTCTGAGTGCCTGGGCTGCTCACTGGTGGTTCCGCATGAAGCCCCGGCGCTAGGTCTGTGGAGGGCATGTATTGAGCGGGTGAGCGCGCGCTGAGCGCCTCTGTGCTGCAGCCGTGGCTGGGGGCCGGGGCTCTCCACCCGCCTCCCGCGTGGTTCGAGGCTGACTTCCCACCGCTTCTGCCTCTCGATAAATGAGGCTCAGCTGGTGGAACCCTGTGTTTCTCTTCAGTTCTAAAAGCTTGGGCTCAACTTGCTTGGCTCTCTGTGGCCTTCTTCTTAGTCCGCTGGTGCTGGCTTAGTCACACTAGCCGGGCAGGGCTCAGATGGACGCGCCTGCTTTTCAGAGTGAAGCCCCAGTGTGCTCCGGACAAGGTGAGGCGGGGAGGGCATCAACATTTGCACCAGGTCCTAGAGATCGCCTCGGGAGCGGCACAGGCCTGGGAGCACCCAGTCCTGCTGAGTCTCAGGTTTCTCTCTGGGCTGAGGGATAGTGAGGGCTGAGGCTGGGTCCAGACCCTGCCTGGGGCTCCCCCGAAAGCAGTCTGGGGCTTTGGGGGATGTGTCAGACTCTGTCGGGCTGGAACAAATGGGCCTCAAAGGTTGGTTAAGTGCAGCCCCTGCCAAGAAGGCACGCTTCTGTAATTTGCCAGACAGTCCTCAGCCCCAGAATGCCTCTGGGAAGGAGACAGAGCAGCGCGTGGCAAAGCAGAGGCGGGGAGGAGGAGGAAGCGGGAGGCCCAGGTAAACCTCAGGCCACACTTGGGCCAGAGGCAGGGTCCAAAGGCCGGCGGGAAGGCAGCCAGTCCCAGGAAGGCAGCAGGCGCACTGCCTGGGGCCCTGCCTTCCTCCTCCGGGTTCCGCAGTGTCCTGCGGGCTACCAGAGAGGTCCACGGCGGGCGGTGGGGCCAGGGGAGCCTGGCCGAAGAGCAGAGGCCCCCACGGCGCCCTGTGTGTGGAAACCTCCGGATGGCCGCAGGGGGGTGGGGGGAGAACCAAAGCCCTGGGATCGCCGGGGGAGGGGCGGGGGCTTGGCTCGGGCTTGGGAGGAGGATGATCTGGAGGAAGGCCTACAGCAGCTTTCCATTCTTTCAGCCCTGAGCCCCCGAGTCTCCGCCTCGCATCCGTTCGGGCGCGGTGTAAACTCCACGCCTGAGCTCCACGAGACACGGCGGGGCGGAGGGAGGAGGGAGAGACCAGTCCACACACAGGCGTACCTTATTATATAGAATTTGTACAATATATTTCTTTTCGTTTGCATATTTTACCCACAGCTTAACATCCTTTTTACAGGCTGAACTCACTCAGGCTGATAGAATCAAAATTCTTTCAACCAAATAAGAAAAATTCAAAATCGTAAACCCGTAAGAAAACAAATTAAAAACGGTGATGAAAATACGTCACTCCTCTCGTTAGGAACAGTGTCTGTTTGTACAACAGGTATGCTCTGGAACAGGATTTCTTTACAGCGTAGGCACGTGTTTCCACCTTTGCTCTGCGGGCTTCGCCTCCTCCGGGCCTGGGGCTCCTGGAAAGCGCCGGGACGCGGCGGCTCTGGCTCGGCAGCGCCACCCGGTGGCCGGAGACAGAGGCGGCCGGGCCGAGCCGGGAGAGCAGCCGCGGGTGCGAGCGGACTCAGGCTTGTTTCCCGTGAACTGCAGCGAAGATCCCAGAACAGCAAGGGCAGTGGGCGGACAGGTGCTCTGGGGAGCCCAGCGTTTATTTACAGCTGATCTTCCTGACGGGAGGATGGAGTACAGCGGCGGCCACTGCCATAGGGGAGGTGACTCCGGCCCTACCGCCCGCTTTACTCGGAGTCTGGGGTGTGGAGGGGCGTGGGTGGCGCTATCTCGTCTACCTTCCAGGTTGGCTGTGAGTCTGAGCACGCAGCGGGGCCTCCCTCCCAAGCACTAAGACTTGTTTCCTGTGAGTCCCCTCTTGGGAAACTCCTTACTGGGAGGCCTCCTCGGGTCTGAGGGATGAAGAAGGTGGGGCCTTCTCTGGGGTGGTGCAGGCAGCTCCCAAAGCAAGGTAGGTTTGGCAAAGAGCAAAAGATGGGAAAAGGGTTTCTACGGAGCCAGCAGCACCTGCCTATTCAGGTCCCAAGCCACAGGAACCAGGCCAGGCCTTTCCACCAGGGCAATGGCCTCAGTCCTCAGGCCACCAAGTTCCAGGACCTGCCCCATGTGTTCCCGTCTCCCTTAAATCCCACCCTCCACCCGCCCCGGGATGGTTCTACCAGAACTCTGGGGCTTAGCTGAGAACCCAATTGTAGGGCTGTGAAGCCCGCTGCACCTTGGAGTCCTGACCCAGAAGGCGAAAGTGCTCTTATAGGAAGATGCTTCCAGACCTGCAGACTTGGGCCCTTGCAATCCAGATCCCTGCAGACCCTGCACAGAGGGATCTTCAGAGGCCACGGGGCACACTGGGCCATGGCAATGCTGACCTGGTCAAGCTTGGCCTTGGTGGTGGGGCCCCTTCTCTGGCTCTGGCACTGTGTGGTGGGACGTGCTTCGGCCCAGACACTGCCCCTAAAGGCATGCTCCAACCCCACGGGTCCCACTAAGGCCGGCACGCAGCCCACACGCCAGACTTGCTTCATGTTCCCAAGCGTGGCTCTGGAGGGAGAATCATCATCGGCACTCCAGGGCAAGACTAAACCCATCAAAAGAAAAATGTAAAACAGCACTGACTAGAACTAATGTCGTTATTGCTACAAGTGACAGCCAAACAGCCACGCAGAGTCCCAGAGGTGGGTATGACAGACTACCATGACTATCAAGCAGAAATAAAATTATGTGGGTTTTTACTCTTAAAATAAGATATCCTCTGATCATCTTCACGGTACATAAGCTCACGCGTGCTCCTCACATTCTGCTCCTTTCACAGAATGGTCAGTCCCCGGTCATGCCCTCGAGCCCCTCCAGGGAGACAGTGTGGTTCTGCTCTAAAAACGTGAGGTGGAAACTGAAATATGTCAAAACAACAACTGAGGAACTGCGGCTGTGCTGCCTGGTGCATGAGCAGACGTACAGGGGCGCCTGCCGGCTGTCCCCAAGGGCACTTGTTCTCCTCAAGGAGTTCTCTGGGAGGGTGCGGCCGTGCAGGGAGCTAGCTCGATGCCTGGTTCTGTACTGGATGCTTGGGGATCACTGGTGGCTAGGAGGGGCTCTCGCCAGTTTTGGTTTGGTGTGAAAAGCAAAGAGGTGCTCCCAGGCTGGGCAGCCACTGGGGGTCTTGCTGGAAAGGTGGATCTGGGTGGACTGTGCCTCCCTCTGAAGGCAAGTGCAGGCAGTTCCAGCTCCACGGAGACAGAAACCAGTTGAGAGAGGCCGCTTCCAAGTCTTCCCAGGCCCACGGCTCCTGCAGTGACAGCCTCTGGAGAAGGCTGGTCTCTGAACCTTCTTAAGGGCCCCCTGCCCACCCTTTCTGAGGCATTCTGCACTGCTTGGCTTATTTTCACCATGCTACAGCCTGTGCTTGTGTCCAGCCTACGCACGGGAGCTCTTGGAGACGTGGCTGCTTGGCATCCTAACTGGAGTGGTCAGCTCAAGGAGAGCTGGGCACTGGCGCTACAGGAGTTTTCCTGAATGAGGTTAGATGTCTGCTCTAAAATCCCTGTGGCAGATGAACTAGTCCCATGCACGCCCCACCAAGGGCTAACACTCCACATTCCAGAGGCGGGTGGCCTTGTTTGGGTAGTTGATGGCCAGGCTGATGGCAGCAATGTTCTGCAGAGCCTGTAGAGGGAAAAAGAGTTGTCGCCAATGTCGGGAGCCACTCCCTCATTCAGTGAGTGCTGATAAGACCCTCAGCTGAGCACTGAGGATGTGGGGACGGAGGAGGGGAACCAGATGTGTTCCCCTCCCCCACAGGCCTGCAGAGTGGAGAGAGAAAAAAAATGCTATTAAGAGCACATGAAAGCTCCAAATGTAGGTAGGAATCATCACTGCCCAGAGGGGCAGTCCCAGGGCGGAGGCTCAGAAGGCTGTCTGCAGAGGTCTGGGAAAACTCTCTGGGGAAAACAGTGCAAAGATGCAGGTGGGGAAGGGCAAGGCACTCACAGGAAACGAACAGCCAGTGCTGGGGACCAGAGGGAGTAGAGAAAACAGGGCCAGGAGGGCACTGAGATGCCCTGGAGGCGAGGCCAGGCCCGTCAGGCCTTCAGGGTCTGGGCAGCAAGAGGGTGGAGGTGGCAGAGGGAGGAAGAGGGGGTTGGCAGGGAGACGTGTCAGGGAGAAACGTCAGGACACTGGTGCAGTACACTCAACAGGCTGTGGGGGGGGTCAGAAGAGGGTAAGGAGGAAATGGAGACTGGACAGGGGCAGCAAGAGGGACCCGCCCACAGGCAAGCCGCCATGCTGAGCTTTGGGGCCAGGACGGGCAAATATCAAAATTTCGTTACATGATGTGATGAAACCTGGGGTGGCGGCGGCAATGCTGGTAGGTAGCTGTTGGGGGTAAGGGAGTTTCTACTCTGCCTACAGGTCTCGGGTGAATTCACACAAACTCTTCGGTATGGGCTGGGGGCATTTCCACTTCCGAGCGTACACGTCAAAGCCTACAACAGGAAAGAAGACCCTTTTCCTGCAAAAGGGCGGTGTGTTCGGAGACTACTTCCAAGGGACAGAGCGCCGCGCTCAGGCAGGGCTCTTGGCTGGGTGTCCCGGCTGGGTGTCCACCCACGGGTAACCCTGTGAGCCTCAGTGTCCCTAGCTGTCCTCCGGGGGGGTGGGGGTGTTGGGCCACACACGCGATGATATTCAAGGAGTCCAAGGTTCTCAAAATGTACTCTGGGGCCAGGCGACTCCCGAGACCCTTTTGGGGTCTGCAAGGTTCATTTTTGACTTTCCTTCTCCTGAGTATATGGTGGAGTGTTCCAGAGCCTGACGTGTGATCTGACTGACTGCAGAAGCAGACATGAGAACATGAGAATCCAGCTGTCTTCTACGAGGCCAGACATGAGAGGGGTCTGCAAGGATGGAACACAACAGCGCCACCCTCTGCAGGCATTCCTTTTTTCTTTTTTGGTCACCTATTTGTCCCAGAGCACTCAGTAATTACTTTGTTTTGAAAAGTTAGAGTCGTTTTTCACAAGACGTGTTATTCATGTTAACATGAAATGGGTTCACTACTTTAAAAAAATAAATTGATAAAGGTTTACACTTTTGCTTAATTTTTAAATTGAAAATCTCGTTTCTAATGGCACATATGGATATATGCATAATAGACATATCCAAAAGCTTTCTGAGCTCCTCAGTCAGTGAAAAGTGTGAAGCGTCCTGAGACCAAACAGCTGTCAGAAGAGGAGTTCCGCTACCAGAGAAGCAACTCACATCTAAAAATATGTGAAATCTAACTCCACGGAAACTTCAAGAATCAGCCAAACTAAATTTAAGGCATCGGTTGTTTTGGTTTTAAAGACACAAATTCTTCTGACCCCACAGTTTAGAGTGAATGACTCTGATAAATGGGGCTCGTGCATGCTCTCTGAGCACCAGGAGGAAGTGACTGAACTGGAACAAGCTCTGTGTAAGCTCCGGGTGGATTCTGTCCTACTCAGACGCAATGTACAGACCTTCTCTGCCCTGGCAATGGTGAGATGGTGGCGCCCCAGCCTGGGGGCCAGCTCTGTTGGGGTGGAGAGAGTACCTGTGCCGCACAGCGGAGAAGGTGGTCGTCCGTGGTTAGGGCCAGCAGGTAATCCTGCAGCACGCCAAGCTCCTGCAGAGAGAGAGCAGGGGCTGTGAGTGACAGCGCCAGATGCGCAGTGCAGCTCTCCCAGACCACCTGGGACACCTGCTTGCGAAAGCAGAAGCCTCTCATGGGCGGACGCTACTCACGCCGCCCAGCACCGCGTGGCACTGCCTTGCTCAGAACCCTGGCGGGAGCCAGGTGCCCGGTGCCGGGGTCACCTTTGCCTCCACCTGCCCTTGGGTGACCAGGCCGGGACCCCTCCTCAAGCCAGTTTCCTCATGTGTGAAAGGAGAGGGAAGCTAAAGAACTCTGAAAGGCCCTTTCAGCTCCCACATTCAATCAGTCTATTGTGCTGAGGGGAGGAAAAAAAGAGAAGGAAGCAGAAATAACCCATCGTTTTATTTTCCAAAACTCACTGTTGTCAAGGGCTGATCCCGGGCAGTTTCTCCCCCATTGGCTCTAGGCCTGACAAAATAAGCAATCTCAGAGCTGACCTGAGGGTTTCCCAGGCCTGGGAGAGGCGAGAGCCTCAGACTCTCAGCCATGCCTGTCCTGTGTGGCCTGTCGAGACCCTGGCCACTCAGGCTCGGATGAGGCAGCAGCTTCTGCCCTGGGTAGCAGAGGGAGCAAACGCACATGGAGGCACCGGGCTCCCTGCCCAGACCTCAGGCCTCACCTGGGCACGGTTCTCGGTGACGAAGAAGAGCTCAGTGAGGGCACGATGCAGGGGAAGGAGGATGCCGGGCTGCGTCACGTCCTCAAACAGGCCGTACTCCATGTGGGTAAAGAGCTGCCACAGGGGCTTCAACAGCGCAAGGTCACACAGGTCACTGCAGGAGGAGCCCCGGAGGTGGTCAGTTTACTGAGAGCCATGCCAAGGTCACATGGCTTACAGCTGGCAGGAACCACAGCTCAGACCCTCCCTCTCCCACAGCTGGTACAAATGATTATAAAGTCGCCTCACCTATGCTCCCCACAAAGCAGCCACGAATAGTCACCAACAGCAAAGAAGGAAAGGGGCAGAACCTAAACTTTAAAACCAGGCTCCAAGGGAACAGGAGGTCGGAAATGTGCTCACGGGGATTACTGTGCATCTTGAAAAATGGATGTTACGGGCTACACATGGTGGCTCACACCTGTAATCCCAGCACTTTGGGAAGCAGAGGTGGGAGGATCACTTCAGCCCAGGAGTTGGAGACCAACCTGGGAAATAAAGCGAGACCCTGTCTCTACAAAAAATTAAAAACAAACAAACAAACAAAACCCCAAAAAACAAACAAAAAAAAAACCTAGCTGTGTGTGACAGCACCCAGCTACTCGAGAGGCTGAGGTGGGAGGACTGCTTGAGCCCAGGAGTTGGAGGTTGCAGTGAGCCATGAGTGCACCACTGTACTCTGGCCTGGGCAACAGAGTGAGACCTTGTCTCTTAAAAAAAAAAAAGTTATGAAGACTTTCCAGTGACAGTGGGAACTCATCTCAAGATAAATATTAAATGAAAAAAAGCAAGATGTGGCCGGGCGCGGTAGCTCACGCCTGTAATCCCAGCACCTTGGGAGGCCAAGGCAGGCGGATCACGAGGTCAGGAGTTGGCCAGGAGACCAGCCTGGCCAACACAGTGAAACCCCGTCTCTACTAAAAATACAAAAAATTAGCTGAGCGTGGTGGTGGGCGCCTGTAATCCCAGCTACTAGGGAGGCTGAGGCAGAAGAATTGCTTGAACCCTGAAGGTGGAGGTTGCAGTGGGCTGAGATCACATCACTGCACTTCAGCCCAAGTGACAGTGTGAGATTCCGTCTCAAAAAAAAAAAGAAAAAGAAAAAAGAAAAAAAGCAAGATGTAAAACTACATATACAAAATAAAATTCAAAAATAACCTGCATATACAGCATTTTCTCTATGCATAAGAAAAACAACAGTAAACAGACACAACAAAAGATGCCACCAGCAGTTGACCCTATCAGCTTTCTAGGTTTTCTACAATGCTCACTGCTTTTATAAACAGAAAAGAACACTTAAGACAAGCGTGGTGGCTCATATTTATAGTCCTAGTTACTCAAGAGGCTGAGGTGGAAGGATCACTTGAGCCCAAGAGTTCACAGCTGCAGTGGCTATGATGGTGCCACACTGCACTCTAGCCTGAGCAACAGAATGAGACCCCACCTCTAAAAAAAATTAAAGAAAAAAAAAAAAGATGGCCAGGAGCGGTGGCTCATACCTACAATCTCAGCACTTTGGGAGGCTAAGGTGGGGGGATTGCTTGATCTCAGGAATTTGAGATCATCCTGGGCAACATGGCGAAACCCCATCTCCATAAAAAAACAGAAAAATTAGCTGGGTGTGGTGGCGTACACCTGTAGTCCCAGCTACTCAGGAGGCTGAGGGGAGGGGGGTCACTTCAGCTCGGGAGGTGGAGGCCTCAGTGAGTTGAGATGGTGCCACTGCACTCCAGCCTGGGCGAAAGAGCCAGACCATGTTTCAAAAAAAAAAAGGTAACGATGACTACCATTGTTATGATTTTCAGGTGGGCTTATGAAACACAAGATGCTTGCAAGGTTGCTCAGGCAGAAAGCTTTTCCCTAAGTAAAGCAGAGCCTCTGCTGAGAGAATGAACTGAGGGGTTTTTTTTTTGTGTGTGTGTGTGTTTTTACTCAGAGGAAGGCTGTGTTTTAATTCCAACTCAATATCCTTTGGAGAAGAAAAATTATGAAATAAATAATATTCTAGAACTTGTTATATGGCCATATATAATTATATAATATTGGATTTTGCTTTTTTTTAAAAAAAATTGCTTTTTCTCTTATGACTTGAAAAATTATTGTGTATATTTAATTGTTATCTTGAAGCCAATCTCTTTCTCCCAGAGGAATAAATCTTCATAAAACAAACAGGAAAATTCTGATAGCTTTCCAGCTGGGTTTTCAGAGAAGCATGAGCATGTGAGGTACAATGTACCTGCGAGCTGAGAAGGTCCCTCCCCTGAGGACTGCCCCTTGTGTGTGGCCTCCGGGCCAAGCCCTCAGGCAGGCCCCTCTCTCACTCTATGAGGAGCACGCATGAAAGAGGCTAGGGTGGCAAGGCATGCTGGGAGTTCCCTCCGGGCTCGGGACAGAGGGTGCGGGATTGTCCCCACTGGAAAGAAGGTTGCCAATGGCCAGCAGACTGTGCAGGCTGCGGCACAGGTCTTCTTTCCTGCTGCAGGCAAGAAGGGCCCACCAGCCAGGAGACCATGGAGATGTTCCATGTTTCATAAGCACTGCTCAACCAGACTGTGCTTACTGGACTCGACGCTCAAGTGAACAGAGCTAAGCCCATGTGGGGCTGAGTGATCCTGTCTGTGTATGAGGACACGGGGGTAACAGCAAGCATGCCCAGCTCTCCCCTCTCTCTCCACGCTGCTTATGGACTGACTACACAAGCCATCTTGTTCTCTCCCCTGACTTTGAGAGTCCTTTGTTATTTTAATGACAGTTCCATATTCCATGAGAAGACAACCTGTTACTTCAAATATCATCACTGCACTCTGGCTAGCATTCTGTGTGTCTGTGTCTGTGTGCCTTAGAAATGCAGGAAAGAGGAAGAATGAGCTCCTGACAGGGAGGGTTCTGAGCAAGGAGGGTGGGGGCCAGGCAGACAGACAACATATATGGCGCAGTCACTACCACCTTCTCTCACAGATGAGGAATAAGGCAATTATGTCTACAATTCCCAATTCAACACTATATGTCCTCCCTATAGCGCAAAAGGCAAGAACAGTGTCTAAGCATTGAGAGGAAGAAATAACATTTGTTTACAGATGACACGACTGTACACCAAATAATCTGCATATATAGTCTTAGAATGAACAAAGTAAGGTCACTGGATATAACGGCAATATACAAAAATTAATTGTACATCAGCAAAAACAAAGCTAAAATTAAAAAATACCAATTATAGTATCAAAAACATTAAATACCTAGTAATAAATTTAACAAAATGTTAAGTCCTCTACATAGAAACCTCTAAAATATTACTAAGACCTAAACAATAGAGGAATATAAATAGAGGAATATATAATGGCCGTGGATTAGAGGACTTGATGTTCTAAAGATCTTGACTCTCATCAAATTGATCTACAGTCGCACCACAGCACTCCAGCCTGCGTGACAGAGTGAGACTCTGTCTCAAAAAAAAAAAAAAAAAATCTATAGAATCAAGTGGAGATCCGAATGGAACAAAACTGACTTGATGCTTACCCCTTCTATCATACACTCAAATGCATTCCAGGCAGATACTCCTCTAAGTGTGAAAGGAAAAACAAGTTCTACAAGATAACAGGGAATATCTTCATGACCTTCGAGTAAGGCAAACATTTCTCAAATAAGACACCAAGAACGCTAGCATAAAGCAAATGACTGAAAAACTGGAAGACATTAAAGCCACAAATGTCTTTTCATCAAAGTCACCACTAACAGCAAGAAAGGGCCAGCCACAGAGTGGGGATACATATGCCTGGCAAAGGGCTGCCATCCGGGACACCGCTTACCTGTGGCCGCAGCATCGCACAATCCTCAGAAGTAAGTGGATGGCTTTTAATCGTTGATGGCCAGTCTGGCGACAGGCCACGCCCACCAGCCATTCCCAAATTTTTGCCAATGGGAGATGAGGCACGACCCTTTCTTCTGACAACATCTGCTTCAAAATCTCGAATCCTGGCCAACACCCCAAAACACGGATATATAAACAGAGATACGTAATAAGTAATATTATTATTAAATAAAGTATAACAATTGTGTACGTTAAGAATTCTACATTTTATAAACTGCTCAAATTTTAATAACTGTGATCATTTAAATTCTGGCTGAAATTAAGGCTTTTGTAAAAATAACACAGGGGTCATATTTCCAGTTCCTCCTTTTTTCAAAATGCCCTGGCAAATTCTAAGAGAATAAGCATCTTTTTCGGGTCCTGACAGAATGCTTCTCATAGCTGGCCATTCAAGTTTACAACTAGCCAATGAAATCACATTCAGGAGTGACAGGTGTGGGGCTTGTGAGACAAATTTGGAAAGTGTGAGAGACAAGTACCTGCTTTGATTTTAACCAAGATCAGTGACATCATGGCACCCACAGCCATGGAGTGTCCCTGGCAGGCAGATGGTGTGAACGCAAAGCCCAGAGCACACACCTGTCTGGAACCGCCCCAGGTGTCCGGCCGTCACGGTGAATCTGTAGCCCCACTCGGTGTTGCTCATGTCGGAGGTGAAGCGGTAATACAGAGTGTCTCCTAGGCACACAAGGATCAGAGGCCCATCAGGAACTGAAGCAACAGGGAATGGCAGCAGTGGTGTTGGGTTTCAACATTCTCCAGTAAGTTCCCTTCTCAATATTAAGTTTAAACACTGCCTGTGAAGAACCTATCTAATCGAGTATTTGTTTCACTACCTGGAAGTTCAAAATCTTTCCACTTCTGCTGAGACCCGCTGAAGCTGTGTCGGTCTTGCTGGAAGTCACTGCTGCTGGACATGGCTAACTCGTCACAGCCCTCCTCTGTGTTGCACTGAGAGTCGAATTTGATTGAGAGGTAGATGGCACCAGGAATGTGAACTTTATCCTAGGGAGGGGAAATGGAGAACACATCTGTCGATGCTGCTCACTAGACACTGACTGCAGCTGTCCCATGCCGAGTCCTGTGGCTGGACCCGGGTGTGTGAGAATGAGTGAACCACAGCCCTGGCCTCCAGGAGTGCAGAGTCCAGCTAGGGCGAGGAGCATGCACAGACTGCAAATATGGTGCGAGGGAGGCACAGCGGGGCAGGCAACACGGGGCCCCAGAGAAAGAGTGTCAGGCTGCTGTGAAGAGTGAAGAGGACAGGAGGACCCTGTTAGGAGAAGGCGGGAGTGGGAGACAAGGTGGACCTGAGTGCATGGGGTGCATTTCAGACAGGGTAACAGCCCTGTGAAGGTCTAGCATGTTCAGGGAATGGCAAGGAGCTTGGCGTGTTTGGAGTAAAGGGTGTGCTACATGGGCACGTATGCTTGGGAAGCAGGAACAGGGACAAGACCTGACTCCAGAGAGACTGGCAGGGGCAGACACTGAAGGCCCTGGGCATGAAAATGAGGCACTCAGACTCTGGACAACAGGGAAAACCCTGGAAAGCTTTGGTGAGGCTTGCACAGTGTAGCATCACTGACAGCTGGTGTGGAGCAAGGCTGGGCTGAGGCAAAAGTGAGGAAATCAGAAAGTAGCAGCAAAAGGAACCCCAGAGAAGGGCAACGGGTGTCCAGGGTCAGTGGAGAAGACAAGACCTCTTTGGGATCGAACCTGGTGGCTGACCACATGTGCCTGTATGGGACCAAGGGAGTGGGGCTGGAGCCCAGGAACATGACAAGAGAAGAGACTTGGAAGAAAGACAGGTTATACTTCTGAAAAACAAAATCTCAGCTGGCCAATAACCCAGTTCTAAATCGGTTTTCATCATCCACCTTCGCTGCTGCAGGTGCCTTCCACTCAGAAGTAGATGCCTGGGCAACTCCAACATTTCAGTTTTCTCTCCAACATTTTTAAAAGCGCTAATGGGGGCCAGGTGAGGTGGCTCACGCCTGTAATCCCAGCACTCTGGGAGGCCAAGGCGGGTGGATCACCTGAGGTCAGGAGTTAGAGACCAGCCTGGCCAATATGGTGAAACCCCGTCTCTACTAAAAATACAAAAATTAGCTGGGCATGGTGGCAGGTGCCTTTATTCCTGCTACTAGGGAGGCTGAGGCATGAGAATCACTTGAATTCGGGAGGTGGAGGTTGCAGTGAGCCGAGATCACACCACTGCACTGCAGCCTGGGCGACAGAGTGAGACTCCGTCTCAAAAAAAAGTGCTAAAGGGACTACATGGCCTTAAGTCAATGAGAATAACGGAGGCTGCCCCATTCCTGCCTCATCAAAATGCCTACCTCCCTGCCCAGGCACAAAGTTAAGGATGGAAAAGATGAGACTCTGATTCAGTTCTGGGAAATTTTAAAAAGGGGCTGTAGTATCCACGGTGGGGGCAGGTCATGAGGTGGCAGCTGAAGAGTGAGGGTCCAACCTGGACCACATTCAGACTCACTGTCTCACTGTGAAGCCAAGGACTCACTCTGAGGAGCCTGCCGCAGGGAAAGTAAAGCTCTCCTCCAGGGCTAGGTGGCCCATTTTCTTCTATTAAAACAAGAAAAGTCCGGAGAAGAGAAGACTTGCTTGTACAGAATCCCTGGCCTCAGGGAGGCAGACTGCAGTTTGTTCAAGGAAGCACTTTCCTGGACAGGTCTCTGCTGTCCAGCGGGAGAGAGCCACAGAGGGGCTGAGCATGGAGGGGCTGAGCACGGAGGGGCTGACGAGGTCTCTGCGGCTCAGTCGCTCTTATGGGGCCTGCCGGCCCCAGGCTTACCTCGAAGTTGGTGTTGTTGTTATACGGGTGTTTCGACTCCCTCACTTGCACCTCCATTCCTGGCTCCTCCATGAACTGGCATGCAGCCAGGGCCATGGTCCCCAGCATGTCCTCTCGGCAGCCCTGGAGCACTTTCTGCAGGATCTGGTGGGAAGCAGACAGATAAGGTCAGGGCCTGCAAGTGGCATCAGGAAGAAGGGACAGTTTACTTCAACCCAAGCTCCACCCAAAGGTGCTGGCATCATCTTAGACCTAGGACGAGCCTCTGTGACTCCACCACCCAAAACCAACTCCACCAGCCACCTCTCACTTGACCAGGCTCTTGGTGTCAATCAGGACACTGCAGTCCTTTCAGAATGATGCTACTTAGAGGTGGTCTGAAAGAACTAACTGAACCAATCATAAAGGGTCCTGGTCCTTGAAGGAGTCCCCAGCCAAGCAGGTGGATTGGCCTATGGATAAATAATGACCACACAATGTAATCGATGCCTGGAGTGAGGTGCAGGGTTGGGAGCTCTAGGTGGCAAGAACTGTGGGAGGACACGCCTATGCAAGGGCCTAGTAGAGGCAGGGTGGCTCCCTCTGTCCCTTCCGAAAGATAGATATGCTAGAGCAAGCCTGCCAGCACCTGCAGGGCTGCAAGGCCGGGAAAAGACCTCGAGGTCTGGTGGTGTTCTCAGATGGACAAAGCAAGGCTGAGAGGCCAAATGAACTTCCTCATGGACTGCGTGTGTGTGTGTGAAGGTGGGTGAGGGACAGGATCAAAAAGGAGCTACCGAATGTGCCTCAAGATTTCTGCACTTGGAAACTGGGAAGATGGCGACAAAGCTTTCTGGTTCAGCTGGAAATCGCGCTCAGGGCCCCTGAGTTCCTCACTAGCCCAATCCTTGGGAGAGGATACAGTGACCCTACCTTTGCTGCATTCACACCTGTCAGGGAGCTGCACAGCCACACAGGTAGCCTCGCTCCAGGAAGCACTCACTGGAGGAAGCCTGTGGGGCAGAGGAAGAACCTGGTGGGTGAGCACAAGCTCAGTCTGCATAACTACCTTCTCCCACTCATGCTTTTCTTCCAGCTGCATGAACATATCCAAAATGTAGGTCATATGGGCAGGGCCACTGAGCTCCAGGATGTCCTCGCTCACTGGCACGTGGCTAGGCCACTCGGCGAGCAGGGATGCAAGCACGTGGCGGGCGTACAGGACAGCTGTGGCCTCGTTCACTCGGAAGAGGTAGTCCCGGACAGCCCTCTTACTCTTGCAGTTCAGCTCCTTGTGCAGGAGGGCGGCGCTCTTGCTACGGCGCTGCTTGGCATAGCTCTGCTGCAGTTCGCTCTCTGTGCTGGAGATCAGCTTCTGGGTCACAGGGTTCGATTCAGCAGTGGCTTGGTCACAGCGTGCAGGCCGGGACTGCAAACCCAAGACCACCATTACAGAGGTCTAGCCTTCTTACAGTGGTGGTATGGGGTGGGGGATGGGGTGCAGATACTTTGGGTCCGAGGTCGGGTGACATACCAAGCATGGCAGGATAATCATGTCTGTATCCACAGCTTTGGCGCTCTGTTCTTCCAGCCTCAGACTCTTACTGGGCTGCCACCGCTGAGCCAGGGACCGTATCCTTTCATCTGTGGTGAGCTCATCACCATCAAACCTGCAGAAGGGCAGCACAAAGTTGAGTACCAACAGTGTAGACAGGCCAGTTTTAACCTGCACTTAAACTTGTTGGCAATGTTCTTCAGAGTTGTTCTTCTGTTAGTATCAATGACATTATCATATTCCGTGTTTTGCCAACTGGATTCACAGCCTTCACTTATGCATGGATACAGAATGCATGTATGCTCTGTGGCAGGAGATGCAAACTCTCCTGCAAAATCCATTCTCCTTTTCTATCTTTTCCATTTTTAAAATTAATTTAAATGTTTTATTTTCATTAAAAAAACATTTTTAAAAAAAATTTATTTGTTTTTTTTAGAGATGACGTGTTGGAGCTATGTTGCCCGGGCCGGCCTGGAACTCCTGGGCTCAAGCGATCCTCCTGCCTGCCTCAGCCTCCCTAGTAGCTGCGATTACAGGCTCATACCACCATGCCTGGACTCCCCTTCTCTCCTTTTTTTTTTAAATTTAACAGAGTTTAAATGAGCAAAGAGTGATCCCCGAATTGGGCAGCTCCTGAATCAGAATGGGTTCAGAGTGACTCCACTGCTGTGGTTGGAGGTTTACGAACAGAAAAAGGAAACTGACACACAGAAAACAGAAGTGAGGTACAGAAACAGCTGGAATGGTTACAGCCTGGTGTTTGCCTTATTTGAACGCAGTCTGAACAGGTGGACGACTCTGGCCGAAACTCGGTGGCCCTTCTCTCTCTCTAAAGCTCCCTGAGTTTTAGCAAGAGCCACAGTCACCCAGCTAGAGACATGGTTAGCAGCTAGATGTGCTGATGCCCCTGGGTTCTGGGCAGTGCAGGTGAGCGAGGTGGTGTGCCACCTCTGGAGTCTACTGGACTAATGGTGCACTCCCTTCTCCACCTCCCCTCTTTCCTCTGGGCTAGAACCGAGAGGTGGGGTGGCCGAGGGAGCTTTCACTCCACAAATGAGAACGCTGGGATTGCTGGGTCCCTCTGTGGAGCAGAGCTGTCACCCACCCCAGACTCTGCCTACCTCTGGACTGTTATGTGAGAGAAAAACAAATTCTATCTGCCCTGATCCATTATATTTCTGGTTTCTTAGTTACCGCAGCTTAGACTGTACCCTAACTAATGCAACCCTGCTTCACCTCATAAAGGCTTTTAGGCAATATATAAGAAACTAATAAAAGAGAAACACGAAACACAAAATAAAAGAAAAATTAAATGAGAATTTACAATGAGTAAGAAGTCAAAATTAGGATACGGGGGATGGAGGAGACTGGATTGCAGATATGTAAAGTTCTACGCAAATTAAAAAGTTGGGCCCAAAAACTAGCTCTGAACTTCCTGGCCAAGAGAAAGGGAATGTTCTTAATTTTAAAAATATCTTGAGCAGAAGTTCCTGCTCTGTGCTGTCTGCTCCCTGGGATTACACATGAGAGACATCTTGGTGCCTGCCCAATTTCTGTGTCTGTAAAATGAGTTTCCTCTCAGAGGCCGACTACAAACATAAGTTTTAAAGAGGAACCACAGTGCACTTTGAAGATGATCCAGGTAACGTAGCACAGGCCACCTCCCACCTCGCCTTACAAAGGACTAGCAACTGCTTCCCGGCCTGTCGGAGCGTCGATCGATCCAGAAGCTGCTGCCAGGAGGCGCACACCCTCCCGCCCTCACATATTCTCTCCCTGGCCACACTTCAGCTGCACGGAAATGTCCCTTACCTCTTCTGAACCTCCAGGAAGAAATAATCGGTCTTTTTCATCTGCAGTTCGTATATGGCCCGGAGAATGTGCAGAGGGGCATTGAGGGCATCATGAGCCATCTGGAGGCCAGGGGAGGACGCAGACAAGAACCATTAACAGTGCTTCAATACGGTATTGATCAACTGAACTCAAAACTGAGAAGACAATATAGCAAAAGCTGCCACAGGTTATAATTGAGGAACATTATATGGGTAGTTTAAAAAGCATATAAAATTGTAAGCACCAAAACATGGACTATAACACCTACACTACGACTGTAACTTCAAAGGAAATTATAAAACACTAAAACCCCAAAGAAATATCCTGTCAACAAAATACAATGCTGACAGTAGATACTTACCACATCGTATTCACGGCTAGCGTCTCTATAACTGTTTTACACTCAAGTTTGACAACTAGCGCATACATAGGCACTGTATTTTCTTTTGATTTTTTTTGACACAGGGTCTCACTTGGTTGCCCAGGCTGGAGTGCAGTGGTGTGATCATAGCTCATACCACTGAGTACCCAAAAGCGTAGAAAGGCAAGAGGAGTTTTAACCTGCACTTAAACTTGTCAGCAATGTTGATCAAAGTAGTTTTTCTGTTAGTATCAATGACATCATCATTTTCTGTATTTTGCCAACTGGATTCATAGCTTTTACTTATTCATGGATACAGAATTGCATGTATGCTCTGTGCCAGGGGATGCAAACTCTCCTGCAAAATCTGTAAACTTGAACTCCTGGCCTCAAGTGATCCTCCTGCCTCAGCCTCCTGGGTAGCCAGGACTACAGGCGCATGCCACACCTGGCTAGTCTTATTTTTTGTAGAGGCAGGGTCTTGCTAAGTTACCCAGGGTGGTCTTGAACTCCTGGCCTCAAGTGATCCTCCTGCCTCAGCCTCCCAAAGTGCTGGGATTACTAGTGTGAGCCACTGTGCCTGGCTGGGATTTGCTTTTTCTGACATTCTACGCTACATTCTGTTTACTCTTCATTTAGTCACAACTTCTGAAGTCCAAGCCCTCATCCTTTTCATATTGTTCTGAGGAAGAATAGATTACCTAGTAAAGGTAAGAGTGTATTTCTGAGAAACTATGAGGAAGGAACTATCGTATAGAGTTCATGGACGAGCCTTAGGGCTTTAGTAAGCCCTTGAAATTCGTGCAAAATTTTACATACATGTTTGAATGTGTATTTTATGGGGAGAGAGGACCTAAAGCTTTTGAGTTTATAACCCAAAATATTAAGAACTATTGTTGTGGGGCTTTTCTGTTCTTCTGGATCAATTCTGCACAACATAAGACTGAGTCTTTAGGAAGTGAATTCTCAGGACAGCAGACAGAAGCATTTTCATGTTTAGGCTAAAACATGGCCCGGGCCAAAGAGAAGCCATCCCTCAGAAGCCCCTCCTAAGCCACAAGATGACTCAAGAACACACCAAGAAACATATTCTGGTGGGCTCATCCAGGCCCTCAAGGGGGTCCAGCTTTTTCTGCTCTGGGTCGCCAGGGCTGCTGACTGGCCGTTCCACCTCTTCCTCTCGGTCCCCTCGCTCATCCAGCTCTAGGTCTCCGTGCTCAGCCAAAGCGTTGATCTCCTTTTTTGAGGAGTACAGCATGATGGACAAAATCTACACAGAAAGAAAATCCAGCTGAATGTGAGCACTCAGTGGGCGGGAAGATGGTACAGTCCTTTAATCATGAAAATATTGGGCCTAACTTTTTAAGACATCAGAATCTACCTGAAGAATGTGAAATTAGAAAAGAAACACGAATGTATGTTTAATTACACTTTGTGACCGAAGAAATACTAACTGAACACTATGGGAACCTTTGTGTTTATTCACTTCCCCACAGATGGTATCAACTGCTATCGTCCTTTTTAGAACTTCTTTTGGCAAAATGTAAAGAGCCAGGGAAATGCTCATATGCTTTCACCCAGCAACTCATCTGTTACGAATAATGTAAAATATACAAAGTTATTTTCATAATATGCTCAGTGAAGCACTAATACCAAAAAAACTGAAAGCCACCTTCATGTATGATATGTAGCCATAACAAATATTATGAAAACTACATCAGAACCTAGAAAGCAGCCCACATGCCATCAATTTATTTGAATACGATGCTCATGATGCAGTCTAGATTTACACATGCAACGCAAAATGCATAGAAACAAAACGAGAAGGAGAAAATACACAAAACGCTAATGGCAGCTGTGTTTGGAATATAGAGTTTGGAGGGTTTTTTTTTTTCTTTTATAAAGTTTTCTGCAATATAGTTCTAATAATAAAAAATTTTAATTTAAAATATTCTCTAAGAATAAAAGTTCAAATACTCTCCAAATTATCCATTAATATGTTGTAGCACATTTTCCTTAAACCTAACCAAATCCTCTTCTGGCAATTGAGAGCTGTTTCTGCAGGTTCCAGCCTCTGCTGGGCTGTGAATGGCCGCTCACTCCCTCCTATGTGGCGGCAGCCTTTCCTGGGCCTGAATGGCCGCTCACTCCCTCCTACATGATGGCAGCCTTTCCTGGGCCGAAAGTTGGCACTGGGCACAGAAAGTCCACAGGGAACCACAGTAGTTCCGCTAAGAAAACTCTAAGGTCTACGGGGAACAGTAATAAAATTATAATGATCAACTAAAATCCTACGTACAAATAAACATAAGTGAGGACAAATTTAGAGACTGATTTTGGCTGAAAGCAACTTTAAAGGGAAATATGAATTCAAGGGTATACTTTATTACCATGATATAATGGTTAATCATGTGTTTCCATAAAATGCTTCTCTTCCACTGTTCTTTGAACAAACATTAAATTCATTTTCCCTGACAGGGGTAGACAGGTGTCATAATCCCTATTTCCAACAGGGAATACAGAAGCAAGGGAGTTTTCAACACTGTACTAAAGGAGTGTGCACAGGGCAGAAGCAGCTGGAACTCGGTGATGCTTCTAACTCCTAGGCCAGCACATCTGCACCAGGAAAGAGGAGCAGGAGTCCCTCTCGTCTCTTACTTCCAGGTCCCGGAGGAGCCACGTTTTACTAAAGCCAGTCCCTTTGCTGCACTTTTTCACCAGCAACTTCAGCAAATCGGTCTGAAGGAAAGTAGCACGGATCTCCTCAAAACCGTGAGCCTGCCAAGCAGAAGAAGAATGATGTGTGACTGCCTTGGAGTGAAGAAGGTACAACCTTAGCTGTAACTCAGTCTGTTCATTCACTCTTTCATTCATTCGTCCATTCAACACATACTTTTGAATGAAGCCTATTTTATGTCACACTCCCCTGCTCTAACTTCCAAAAGCTGTCTGGGGCTCTTTAGGCTAAAATCCAAGCCTCTGATCATGGCTGACAAAGACCTACAAGGTCCCTGCCTGCTTCTCCGGCTGCGCCCCACCTTTCCTGCATTATTCTAAAGCCTGGGAGGTGTTCTTTCTGCTCCTTGACCACCACGCTTGTTCCATTTTGAGGCCTGGAGCTTGCTACTCACTCCGCGTGTAATGCTCTGTCCAGTTTTCCCAAAGCTGACTCCTTATCTATCGGTTCAAATTTTACTAGAGAAAAAGGCTTTTTTTGACCCACAGCAGTTTTTCTCGCAGGCCCCCTGTTGTCTCTCTTGCCGGTCAGACCACAAGCTCCAGGAGAGCAGGGACCTTCTTTCTGGCTCCAACACTACATACTCAGTTCCATCTGGCCCTTGGTGCTCAACAAATATTTGCTGAATGAAGGATTCAAAGACAGAAATTATTGCTGCCCTTAGGGAGTTTATTTTCCCTTTCCTACTATGATGTAAACAATGGAAACAGTAGCACATTGTGATAAACGTCATGAACTAAAGAAACAGCAGGCTGGGCACCATGGCTCATGCCTGTAACCCCAGCACTTCAAGAGGCGGAGGTGGAAGGATGGCTCAAGGTCAAGAGTTCAAGAGCAGCCTGGGAAACTTAGCAAGACCCTGTCTCTCCAAAAAAAAAAAAAAAAAAAAAATTAACTGGGCATGATAGTGCATGCCTGTGGTTAGTCCCAGCTACTTGGGAGGCTGAGGCAAGAGGACCCCTTAAACCAAAGCATTTGAGGCTGCAGTGAGCCGTGATCACAGGTCTATACTCCAGCCTGGGCAACAGAGCGAGACCCTGTCTCAAACAAAGAAATGCCAGAGAAAACCCACAAACAAACAAACCAACCAACAAAAGAAACAGCAGATGAATGGTCTCAATTCTACAACTACAAACTCCCAGGGCTGGATCAGAGCTGAAATGCCACTGAGGCCAGCTGCTGTGGTGTTGAGTGCCCTCCATGACCTCCCTATCAGTGCTTCCACCGAACAGCCTTCAACTGAGCTCCTCCTTTCATGGATATCCTCTGTTGGGAAGATTATCCTAAAAGGGAGCTGACATATGTTTCCTTGAAAAATCATTCCTCCCAATCGCTGCCTCTCAGGTATGGGAAATTCTCATAAGTCAGCTGCTCATCTCCATGCCAAATATTGCCCAGGTTTTTTTTTTTTTTTTTTTTTTTTTTTTACAGAGGGAGTCTTGCTCTGTTACCCAGGCTGGAGTGCAATGGCATGATCTAGGCTCACTACAACCTCTGCCTCCCGGGTTCAAGTGATTCTCATGCCTCAGCCTCCCGAGTAGCTGGGATTACAGGCACGTACCACCACACCTGGCTAATTTTCTGTATTTTTAGTAGAGATGGAGTTTTGCCATGTTGCCCAGGCTGGTCTTGAACTCCTGAGCTCAGGCAATCCACCTGCCTTGGCCTCCCAAAGTGCCAGGATTACTGCTGTGAGCCACTGTGCCTGGCCATCGCCCAGCTTTTCAACTTGTCTACCTCCTTCCACTCCAACTGTCAAACCTGTTGCTCATCCCCTAGGAGGCTAGCTCCCTCTATTCTTCCCTTCATCTTCTATGATGAAGCACAGGAATTGTCATTTAGAGAGGAAAGTAAGAAACTTTTCAATTTTTCTTCTCGTCTGACAAAGTTGTGTTCCCATGAAGTAGTAGTATCAGATTCCTTGAAACAATGGAAAGACAGAGAAGCCATCAGGAAAATTGTATTTCCTCTTTGAAGTTATCTGTGTGTAAGGCCCACGCGTTTCTAAAAATAATCAAGATCCTATGGTTTACCATCCATCGAAATCAGATGGCATTTCCTCCTAGTTAATCCCCATGCAGATGTCAAATTATAGCCAGATCCACTGCCAACTGGAGAAGCTCCCCATTACCTTTAGTGTTTTATACAATCCTTTCAGGGCCAGGGACAGGACCCAAGTTGCTTCTACTGCCTCGGGACAATGGCTGTCCATGCTGCTTTGCAGAAGGTGACTGGCGATAAAGGCAAAGTGCTGGGAGTACTGGCTCAGCTGGGCCCGAGAGTCACCACACTCTTGTCCTCCTCCCTTCTGGACCAGCTGGTAGTCCTTCACTGAAGGGTGACATCAGGCAGAAAAAGAAAGGCACAAAAGTACAGTTCATGCTTCCAGCAGCTATTTCTTCTATAGTAACATGCCTTACTAAAGTAGGGACTGCAGAAACATAAATCTCTCGGGCTCAGTCTTAGCCAATAAAGCCAGCTTGCAGGTAAACACAAAAATAGTAATGGCTACCTATCCATCAAGCAACTGAGTGGGACAATTTGCATTCTTACTATTGTGCATAAGCAGGCCATCTCCACAGGTGTTAACAAAAGTTCTTAAAGATAGCATATATGAGGCCGGACGTGGTGGCTCATGCCTGTAATCCCAGCACTTTGGGAGGCCAAGGTGGGTGGATCACTTGAGGTCAGGAGTTCAAGGCTAGCTTGGTCAACATGGCAAAACCCCGTCTAATAATACAAAAATTAGCTAGGTGTGGTGTCACACGCTTGTGATCCCAGCTACTCAGGAGGCTGAGGCAGGAGAATCACTTGAACCCAGGAGGTGGAGGCTGCGGTGAGCCAAGATCATGCCATTGCATTCCAGCCTGGGTGACAGAGTCAGACTCCGTCTCAAAAAAAAAAAAAAAAATTAGTACACATGAGATTTCCATTTCCAAACAAGACAGAACAAGAGAGACTGGATTTACTCTCCCACCTTAAACAACCAGGACACTGAAAAAACATGAAACAATAGCTTGCAGATATTGGGCAAAAGGTAGTATAGGACTATGATCCCTGAGAGAAGGGATATAAACTAGATCCGCCCTCCAATAGCACCAGCTATCTGCAGACGATTTCCAAGCTGCAAAGTGGGAAGCAAACATCCAGGCAGAATCCAGCAGTCTCAATGAATTAAAGAAACAGAGATCAGAGTTCAGGGAGGTCAAGGCTGCTAGAATGTACAGGGCAGAATATCAGAGCAGGGAGATGCAGAGAGAGAGGGGTGGGTTGGGGAGAGCTCTCCGGAGATCCACAGAGTCACTCACGAGTCTGTGGCTGCATACTGACCTGCACATTTCTGTGAAAGGAAACTATCTGGGGCAGAAGAAAGAGCTACAGTAGACAGAACAATTCCTGGAGCTCACAGAGAGCTGGGAATACTTTGTCTTTCCAACAGTGAGAGTGGAAGTGTCCTAGTGGAGATGGGGGTGGGGGCAGAAAAAATATTTGAATACATAATGGTCAAAAATTTTCCAAATTTGATGAAAACTGTAAATCTAAGGAGCTCAATAAATACCTAAGCAGAAGAAACATAAAGAAAATCATGTCAAGGCACATGCATAATTGAATTGCTAAAAATATAGCCAGAGGAAAAAGAGACATTACAAAAATGTAGCAAAAGAAGAATGACAGCAGACTTCATCCCAGAATCTACACAAGCCAGAAGACAATAGACAAACATCTTTTTTTTTTCTTTTTTTTTTTTTTGAGACGGAGTTTTTGCTCTTGTCACCCAGGCTGGAGTACAATGACGTGATCTTGGCTGACTGCAACCTCCACCTCCCAGGTTCAAGTGATTCTCCTGCCTTGGCCTCCCAACTAGCTGGGATTACAGGTGTCCACCACACGCCCAGATATTTTTGTATTTTTAGTAGAGACGGGGTTTTACCATGCTGGCCAGGCTGGTCTCAAACTCCTGACCTCAGGTTATCGGCCTGCCTCAGCCTCCCAAAGTGCTGGGATTACAGGTGTGAGCCACCACACCCAGCCTTTAAAGTATTTAAGTACATCTTTAAAGTATTTGCTAAGATAAAACTCAGCTTAGAATTTTTTACCTGGCAAAATTATCTTTCAAAGATGAAGTAAAAAAAAGTCCCCCAGACAAACTGAGAGATTATGTCACGGCAGACCTGCACTATAAATAATGTTCAGCGCAGTTTTTCACGTCCCCCCACAAAACTAAAAAAGATCCCAGATGGAAAACTGAATCTTTACAAAGGAATGAAGAGCACTAGCAATGAAAAATAGATAGCTAAATATAAAAGCTAATGTTTTCTCATTTTAAAATCTCTTGAAATCTCTCTCTCTCTTGTTTTTTAGGGGGTGGTAGAAGACAGGGTCTTGCTGTGTTGCCCAGGCTGGCACTGAATTCCTGGCTTCAAGCTTTGTGATCCTGTCTTGCCTCCCAAAGTGCTGAGATTACAGGTATAAGACCTACGCACCCAGCAATATCTCACTTTTTTTTTTTTTTTTTTTTTTTTTTGAGAGAAGTCTCGCTCTTGTTCCCCAGGCTAGAGTGCAATGGCACAATCTTGGCTCACTGCAACCTCCGCCTCCCTGGTTCAAGTGATTATCCTGCCTCAGCCTCCCTAGCAGTTGGGATTACAGGCGCACACCACCACGTGTGGCTAATTTTTGTATTTTTAGTAGAGACGGGGTTTCACCATGTTGGCCAGGCTAGTCTCAAACTCCTGACCTCAAGTGATCAGCCCGCCTCGGCCTCCCAAAGTGCTGGGATTACAGGCATGAGCCACTGTGCCCTGCCTTTTTTTTTTTTTTTTTTTTAAAGAGACAGGCTCCTGCTCTGTCACCTAGGCTACAGTGCAGTGGCATGATCATAGCTCACTGCAGCCTTGATCTCCTCGGCTCAAGTGATCCTCCTGCCTCTGCATCCACAGCAGCTGGGATTACAGGTGTGTGTCACCACACCTGGCTTTCTAAAAAATTATTTTTAGTAGAGATGGGGTCTAGCTATGCTGCCCAGGCTGGCCCCAAACTCCTGGCCTCATCATCATTTATTTATTTATTTTTGTAGAGATAGAATTTTGCTATGTTGCCCAGGTTGATCTCAAACTCCTATCCTCCAGTCATCTTCCCACCTCACTCAGCCTCTCAGAGTGCTGGGTTATTTTGTTTTTCTTAATGATTTCATTTTATTTCCACTATTGGCTCTTTATCTTTTTGGGTTTTGTTGTGGTTGCTCTAGGATTTACAGTAGTGTACCTTCAAATAATTTCTTAAATGTTGTTCTAGGGTTTACACTGAACGCCTTTAACTTATCATAGTCTACCTTCAGATAATAGTATACCATTTCACATATAGTGTCAGAACATTACAACATTTTCCACTCCATTCTTTGTGCTGTTACACATTTTACTTCTATATGACATAAATCTCACAATACATTACATTTTTTTGCTTCAAAAAGTGAGATACTGGCCAGGCATGGTGGTTCACACCTGTAATCCCAGCAATTTGGGAGGCCAAGGCAGGCGAATCACCTGACTCAGGAGTTCAAGACCAGCCTGGCCAACATGACAAAACCCTATCTCTACTAAAAATACAAAAATTAGCTGGATGTAGTGGCAGATGCCTGTAATCCCAGCTACTTGGGAGGCTGAGGCAGGAGAACTGCTTGAACCCTGGGAGGTGGAGGTTGCAGTGAGCCGAGATCACACCACTGCACTCCAGCCTGGGTGATGGAGTAAGACTCTGTCTCCAAAAAAAAAAAAAAAAATCCTAAATTCAACCATCTTGATAACTGCAATAAATGTAAATGGTCTAAACACATCAATTAAAAGACAGGGATTATCAGATTGGATTTTTTAAAAAAAGACAAGAAATCCACTTTAAATGTAAAGACACAGGTAGGTTAAAGTGAAAAGATGTGAAACCCATGGATATGAAGGGCCAAGAGTATTTTTGATTTGAGTTTGGCTGAGCCTCTGGATGCAAAACCCACAGATATGAACAGCCAACTATAAGGGACTAATCCACGAATTTTGCTATCTGTGGGGAGTCCTGGAACCAATCCTCTGAGGATACTAAAGGATGACTACTCTATGCAAATGCTATTTTTAAAAATGCAAGAGAGGCTGTACGAATATTAGATTTCAGAATGAGGAATATCATTAGGGATAAAAAAGGGACATTTCATAAGAAAAAGAGAAACATACAATTACAGTTAGAAACTTCTATAGTCCTCTCTCAGGAATTGTTAGAACAAGTAGATAAAACATCAGTAAGGGCACAGAAGACTTGAATAACATTATCCATTGACTTGACCTAATTAACATCTATAGGATACTCCACCAACAACATAGTGCACATGCATTCTCTTCAAGTGTACATGGAAACTCCATGAAAACAGACCTAATTTTGGACAATAAAACAAATTGTAATAATATTCATAATAGGACTGAACTAATTAAAAATATGCTCTATGACCACAAGGGAATTAAACCTGAAATCAACAACCAAATGATATCTGGAATATCCCCCAAATATTAAGAAACTAAACATCAAACTTTTAAATAATCCACAGAGCAAAGAAAAAAAAAATCACAAGATAAATTGGAAAATATATTGTGACCTAAATGAAAATGACAATATATCATAAAAAAAAATTGTGAGATGTTCCTACTGAATCCAAGGGACACCGAAAAAGAAAAAAAAAATAGTGGATGTGGCTAAAGTCATACTTAAAAGGAAATGCACAACATTAAAATTCTTCTATTGCCAAGGAAGAAAGGTCTCAAATCAGTGATGGCTCCTACCTTAAGAAACCTGTAATCCCAGCACTTTGGAAGGCTGAGGCGGGTGGATCACTGAGGTCAGGAGTTCGAGACCAGCCTGACCAACATGGTAAACCCTGTCTCTACTAAAAATACAAAAATTAGCCGGGCATAGTGGCATGTGCCTGTAATCTCAGCTACTCAGGAGGCTGAGGCAGGAGAATCACTTGAACCCAGGAGGTGGAGGTTGCATTGAGCTGAGATCATGCCAATGCACTCCAGCCTGGGCAACAAGAGCAAAACTCCATCTCAAAAAAAAAAAAAAAAAAAAAGACAGAAACCAGAAAAGCAGCCAGGTGTGGTAACTCATGCCTGTTATCCCAGCACTTTGGGAGGCTAAGGCAGGAGGATCACCTGAGCCCAGCAGTTTGAGATCAACCTGGGCAACATGCTGAGATCCTATTAAAAAAAAAAAAAAAGAAAAGAAAAGAAACCGGAAAAGCAGTAACAACACATTAAACACAAAGCCAGAAGAAATAAGGAAATTTATCTGGGCAGTAATCAAAGAAACAGCAAACAGAAATAAAAGAAAAATGAATGATACCAAAGTTGGTCCTTTGAAAAGATCAAATAACTTGACAGATCTCTGGCTAGACTATCTAGGAAACAAAAAGAGAAGACATAAATTGCCACAATCAGAAAATAAGAGAAGACGGCTCATACCCCAATATGCCAGGCTGAGAGAAATTAAAGAAACCTAAATTTATTCTCTAAATAAACTGAATGATGTACCATGCACTCAATATAGAAGTCCCTGACTTACAATGGTTCAACGTAATGATTTTTCAACCTTTATAATGGGTTTATCAGGACATAACCCCATTATAAACTGAGGAACATCTGTCTGGTTAAGGTATTGTCCCAAATTAATCTATAGATTTGATGCAATGCCAATCAAAATCCCAGAAGGCCATATACTTTTCTGAGACAGGGTCTTGCTCTGTTGCCCAGGCTATAGTGGAGATCACAGCTCACTGCAGGTGATCCTCCCACATCAGCCTCCCAGGTAGCTGGGACTACAGCATGCCACCACGCCTGGCTACTTATTTTATGTAGTGATGGGGGTCTCTACAAAGTGCTGGGATTTCAGGTGTAAGCGACTGCGCCTGGCTCCTGCAGGCTCTTTTATAGAAACTGATAGAAACTCTTTTATAGAAGCTGATTCTAAAACTTACACAAAAAGACAAAGAAACTAGAAGAGTCAAAACAATTCTGAAAAAGAGCAAAGCTGAAAGACCTGATTTCAAAATTTTATACAAATTTAAAATAGTCTGGCCAGATGTGGTTGCTCATGCCTGTAATCCCAGCACTTTGGGAGGCTGAGACAGGTGGATCACTTGAGGTCGGGAGTTTGAGACCAGCCTGGCCAGCATGGTGAAACCCCATCTCTACTAAAAATACAAACGTTAGGCTGGGCGCAGTGGCTCATGCATGTAATCCCAGCACTTTGGGAGGCCAAGGCAGGCAGATCACCTGAGGTCAGGAGTTTGAGACCAGCCTGGCCAATAGGGTAAAATCTCATCTCTACTAAAAATACAAAAAATTAGCCAAGTGTGGTGGTACGTGCCTGTAATCCCAACTACTTGGAAGGCTGAGGCAGAAGAATCGCTGGAACCCAGGAGGCGGAGGTTGCAGTGAGCTGAGATCGTGTCACCGCACTCCAGCCTGGGCAACAGAGTGAGACTTGGTCTCAAAAATAAATAAATAAATAAATAAATAAATAAATAAATTTACAATAGTAAAAAAAGTGTAGTACTGAAGTAAGGACATATAGATTAATGAAACATAATAGAATCCATAAATAGACAGATACATGTGTGTCAATTTTCGACAAGATTCCAAGATAATTGGATGGAGAAAGGATGGCCTGTTCAACAAATGGTCCTGGATCAAATGGATGTTCATACGCAAAAGAAAAGATCTTAGACATTTACATACACGAAAACAGCACAGACACTGCCTAATGCTGATGCTGAGTGAAAATGCAGATGGCTTCACGAGCAGAACTGGGAATGTAATGGGTAGATACTCCAGATTGCCTGGGCCTTGGCAAACTAAGTCAAAAGGGCATTTGTGATATAATACTTTCAATGTTATACTGATAAAACAAAATGGAAAGTTACATGAATTCTAATACAATTATTTTAAGTGCAGCCACCTGACTCCATGTAGTCACCTGACTCCAAAATATGTTTAAATTACCCATAGAAAGCAAATGACACCAGCAAATGGAGAAATTAAATGTTCAGAACCTATATATCTAGCCAACCAAAAAACACAGAGCCATATACACAAAAAGACAGCATGGAAAGGGGCCTTTGAAATTATCCCAATTCAATACATCATTTCAGAAATAAGGAAAAAGAAGCTCGGGGAGCTATAACTTGTTCTTTAAAAAAATCACACGCAGGCCAAGAGCCAAGGTAATTTCATTGATTTTAGGGTACGGAGGGATTAGGCATTTTTCTTCCATTCTTAGAAAAAAATAATTACGCATGGTACCTGTTTTCCTCTTCCGAGTTTTGACATCAACAATCACAGCCCTGTTCTTCTCAGTAAAGTGCTTCAAGATGATCACATTATGGGGTTCATTGGCATTATCCATATAAACGCAGCGGGTTCCCACACAGAGGACCTAGAACGTGGTAGACAGAGACAGAAAGGCAACTCAAACATGGAGACAAGAAAGAATTCTTAGGCATAAGCCCAGCCCCCTTTGATTGTGCCTCTGATTTCAACAAGCACGCAAGGATAGGGATCTTCTCATCTCTAAGTCCAAAGAGTCTGCCACAGGCTGGCACAGAATTGGTTTAAGTCCTTGCTGGATGAGGCCATGTTTTTACAGCCCCCTTTGTCCTAATCAGTTGAGGGACATGAAGATTAGAAATAAGGTCAAGGTGAATGCCAAAATGAAAGACAATTTTCTTTGAAGTTCTTTGTAATCTGATATATTACAGTCACCTATTATTCAAAGCCAACTACTGGCTATAAATGAATCAAATGTTTAACCGTTAAAAATGCAAGTTGAATAAACCATCCCATAATCTTGACAATACTTCAATACTACAAAAGCAAGGTGTACAGGCAAAGGAAAAAGCTTCCAAAGAGATCTATGCCTATATATCCGGAAGCCACAGAGGCTTTGGTGTGTATAGTGAAGACTGGAAGGGGTGACCAGGCCCTCAGGCCTTCAGAGTGTGGTACCTGGGGGAAGCCAACCAGCACGAGCAGGGTGAAGATGTTGGTGTGCTTCAGCTGGAATGGCAGCTGCTTGATGCAGTGGTCTGTGAAGGTGGCAATGACATCACGCCACAGTGGGGCACTGTTGAGTGACCGCAGGATCTCTGCCATGGAGCACGCCCAGTCCAAGCCCACCCGGCTGGAAGGCAAGAGCTCCATTAGGGGCAGTACACAGGGCTCCAAACTCAACTCGTTAGAGCTCACTACACTCCAAGGCAGACCCAGAAGCCTTCAAAGAGCCATTCATTAACTAGCTTAAAAACTACCAGAATAATGCTTTTCGTATAATGGTGAGTAAAAGAGCAAACAAAATCAAGACTTGTTACTTACATACTCACCCTACGGCTGTGTTTCCAAAAATATCTATAAAAATCACCTGTGTGTGTGCACATGCACACTCATATTCAAACACAGAAGAAAATGTAGTGAGACAGCACCAGATGTATTAAAATGGTGCAAGTCAGGGTGACTTTTTTCCTTCTTTTATTATTATTATTTTTTTGAGACGGAGTCTTGCTCTGTCGTCCAGGCTGGGGTGTAATGGCGCGATCTCTGCTGACCGTAACCTCCGCCTCCTGAGTTCAAGTGATTCTCCTGCCTCAGCTTCCGGAGTAGCTGGGATTACAGGCACACGCCACCATGTCCGGCTAATTTTCTTTGTATTTTTAGTAGAGACAGGGTTTCACTATGTTGGCCAGGCTGGTCTCGAACTCCTGACCTCGTGATCCACCAGCCTCAGCCTCCCAAAGTGCTGGGATTACAGATGTGAGCCACCGTGCCCAGCTTATTCCTTCATTTCTGTTTTCCAAATTTGGTGTTGTGGTTATGTTACTTTTACAACGAAAACAGATTTATTTGCTTCAACCTCAAGGCCCACACTTACCGCTCATTAAAAACAGAATATGCCTCATTAGAGAGTTGAATCAGCAGCCAGTGTCGAGACTGCTCAGCTGTTTTAACGTTGGTGTTAAGCACAGTTTTAATGTGGGTTGACAGCATTGCTCATGAACCTAATTCTATTTCCACAAAACTCTCAGACAACACAACTGTAGCACACCGAAATTAATCAACAGCCAGACCTTCAACTTAAACAAATAAACACCAAGGTGGGATAGAGGGCAGGTGGTTAGAGGAGCGAGGACCAAGGCTACCTGTCCAGACACACAGCTCCCAGGCTAAAGAGCAGGTGGGTGGTTTTCCAGCCATCTGGCACAATGGAACTGTCCCCTGCAGCAAACAGGTTGTGTTTGGCTGAGAGGACTTTGATCACTGCGGCGTCTACCTCTGCTGGCAAAAGACGGATAATTAACTGGCCGAGAAGACCCAGGGTGAGATGGTAGGTTTCATTCAGGTGGCCTGCGTTTGAGATGACAACCTGAAACATGAGTGGAAGGACGTGCTCCAGGTCTATCAGGGGAACCGTGGGGCCCTGCCAAGAGAGGGAGAGAAATCTGTTCAGTACAAAATCCACATAACCAAACTTGCTAAATATTATATCTCCCTCCTACCTTATTTACAGCTGGCCTAGTGCTAACGGAATCATGCTTGTAGCTTTCATAAATGCCATATGTATAATCACTTACAAAATAAACATCCTCAGCTCTCATCTTACAATCCTACTTCTAATATTTCTTTACCCTGAAAAAGAAACTTAAAATACTTGGTTTCCCCCTCACCTTTCAAAATGTCCATTGTAAAATAATTTAAATAATTCAGAAACACGCAAAAGTTAAAGCTCCCCTAAATCCCCTCCCTGCAACCATGGCCAGGAGATAACAACTGTTAAGTGTGATGAATAGTCTTTCAACCTTTTTCTATGCATATTTATTTACACATGATATATGTAAAATAGGCCAGGCATAGTGACTCACACCTGTAATCCCAGCACTCTGGGAGGCCAAGGCGGGAGAGTCACTCAAGCCCAGGAGTTCAAGACCAGCCTGGGCAACATAGTGAGACCCTGTATCTACAAAAAATACAAAAAATTAGCCAGGCATAGTGGTACGTGCCTGTAGTCCCAGCTACTTGGGAGGCTGAGGTGAGAGGATTGCTTGAGCCCAGGAGGTGGAGGCTGCAGTGAGCCATGGTCATGCCAACTGCACTCCTGCCTGGGTGACAGAGTGAGACTCCGTCTCAAAAAACAAACAACATGTCTGTGTGTGTATATATATATATTTGTGTATGTATGTATATGTAAAATAAATTTAAAATTTTAAATAGTTGTTTTTCTTTCTTTAAATAGTGTCTTGCAACTTATTAATACTTTGTTTCCAGTTCTTCATTATTATAAAAACCATTCAGCTAAACGGCCTGGTACAAACATTTCTATACTTATACCATTTGTTATTTTCCACAGGAAAAAAATGCACAAAACCGAAGAAAGCTTTTACAATGTCTGAGTTGTTATCCTCAGTGTGACTCAAGAGGGCACTATATCCATAGTATGAAAACAAAGCAATCAAAGAACAAAAAGTTCTTGGAAATAAAAAGTGATTCTCAAGAAGGCGTCTTTCTGACATGGCAGCCTGGGAGGGGTGTCACAGTCCAAGAACTCAGAAGGCATCTAGGCAGGGGGTTGGTCTGGTGGAGGCCACATGGTGTCAGAACCCAAGCAGGGTATGGAATTTCCATGGAGAAGGTCTGGCAGAGGAGTCAGAGCACAGGTGGCTGAGGAAGTCACCCAAGCCCAGGAATGCCCAGGCCTCTGGAGTTGGAGCTTGGGCTCCGAGTGAGGTGAGGAGGGCAAAAACGCAGAAGAGCAGCCTGATGTGAGTGTCCGAACCTAAGTGGAGAGGTGAGGGCATCTGCGCGGGGAGTTCACCCTCACACAGGGGCTCAGAGTCCAAACAGCATAAGGAGAGTGTTGCCACTGAGTAGCAGCCTGTTGCGGGTGAGGGTCGTCTCACTGCAAGGGGGCAACCTGGATTAGAGAGACAGACCCAAGTGTGGTGGGGAGGTATCCATGTCAAGAGTCCACTGTAATCCCAGCACTTTGGGAGGCCAAGGCAGGGGGATTACCTGAGGTCAGGAGTTCAAGGCCAGCCTGGCCAACATGGTGAAACCCTGTCCCTACTAAACATATAAAAATTAGCCGGGTGTAGTGGTTGGCGCCTGTAATTCCAGCTACTCAGGAGGCTGAGACAGGAGAATCGCTTGAACCGGGGAGGCAGAGGTTGCAGTGAGCCGAGATTGCACCACTGCACTACAGCCTGTCCAAAAAAAAAAAAAAAAAGAGTCGAAACAAGGAAAGGAGGACACCTCAAAAGAAGAACAGCAGCAGAGATGTGAGACTGATCCAGTAGGTAATTATACGAAGGATGATGGGATCCAGGATTCTCACCGTTAAAGACTGGATTCTTTAAATCAGGGTTTCTCAACCTCAGTGCTACTGAAATTTAGGTCTGATAATTCTCATGTGTGTGTGGGGTAAGTGGCACCTGTGCATTTAAAAATGTTTACCAGCAATTCCTATAGTGTAGACTCCGCTAGAATTCCAGGAGCATTCCCTGAGTTGTGACAGTCAAAAATGTCTCAAGGCACTGTCAAATAGCCATATTGGATACCTTCAGTTTGAGAATCACTGCTCTAAGGCCGGGCGCGGTGGCTCACGCCTGTAATCCCAGCACTTTGGGAGGCCGAGGTGGGTGGATCACCTGAGGTCAGGAGTTCAAGACCAGCCTGACCAACATGGTGAAACCTCATCTCTACTAATACAAAAATTAGCCAGGCGTGGTGGCACGTGCCTGTAATCCCAGCTACTAGGAAGGCTGAGGCAGGAGAATCACTTGAACCGGGAGGCGGAGGTTGCAGTGAGCAGAGATTGCACCACTGCACACCAGCCTGGGCGACAAGAGGGAAACTCCATCTTCAAAAAAAAAAAAGAGAATCACTGCTCTAAATAAATATATAGAATACACACACACACACACACACACACACACACACACACACACACTCTCTCTCTCTCTCTCTCTCTCTCTCCCCGCACCCCGCCCGCCCGCACTGGGAAGACTGGGGAGCAGTGACACCCTGTTAGCAATGAACCCACCTAGTGCTCAAGCCATTTCAACATACTATCCTCTACCAAAAGGAATGAGGTCACCTTAGAGAAATGGCTGATTCTAGGGCTAGGGGAGGGAGAATTTAAGAAGTGCTGAAATGATGGGGATATGTCAAAAGGACACAGAAGTCAGCGGGAATGGGTTCCCACTGGTCAAAATAAGTAATCAGAATAATGGATTATAGCTCATGGAGTAAAACAGGAAATCATGAACCCATACTGATATAACTAACTAAATAAATAAATTGTTTGATGAGAAACAGGATATTTACATAGTTTCAAAGACTCTCCCCACTAAATATTTACTAATAACAAAAGTGGAAAGATTATGGTAGAAAAGGCTAATGGACACCACTTAATCCAGTGATCAAAGTAAACATGATCAGTAATGAAATACGTCAAAACTGTGTTCCACCTGACAGGCTGCAATGAGAATGCAGCATCTCATCTGTGATTTTCCTGCCCAAGAGGCAAAGCCTGAATCTAATTATGAGGAGACATCTGATAAACTCCAACCCCAAAGAGGAGGACATTCCACACAATAGGTGGCCTGTGATCTTCAAAAGCTCATGATCACGAAAGTAAAGACTGATAACTGTTAAAGACTAGAGGTGATTAAAAGACATGACAACAAACTGCTACACGTTCATTCTTTTTCTTTTTCTTTTCTTTTTTTAAGAGACAGAGTCTTACCCTATTGCCCAAACTGGAATGCAGAGGTGCAACCTTGGCTCCCTATGACTTCGACCTCCTGGGCTCGAGTGATCCTCCTGCCTCAGCCTCCCAAGTAGCTGAGACTATAGGTGTGTGCCACCATGCCTGGTTAATTTTTCTATTTTTTTGTAGATAGAGTCTTGCTATGTTTCCCAGGCTGGTCTCGAACTCCTGGGTTCAAGCAACCCTCCTACTTGGTCTCCCAAAGTGCTGGGATTACAGATTCAAGGCACTGTGCCTGGCCTATACATTAATTCTGATCCTCCTGCCATAAAAGACACTTTTGGAGCAAACTAGTGAAACTTGAGTAGGGAGTAAGCATTAGATGGCAGCAATGTACTGATGTTAATTTCTCTGACTTTGATGACTGCTGTCTGGTTACACAGGAGAATCTCCTTGTTTGTAGAAAACACACACTAACATATTTAGAAGTAATATGGCATGAACTTGGCAACTTTCAGGCATAAAATTATTTGTATAGTACTTTTAACTTTTACATAAGTTTGTAATTATTTCTAAATTTGAGAGGATATGGAGCAAATAAAGCTTTCATGTGCTGCCGTGGGAGTGTGAACCGGTACAAACATTGCAGAAACTGTTTGGCAGGGAGTGTGAACTGGTACAAACAACGGCAGAAACTGTTTGGCAGGCCAAGTTTGGCCTGCATTCAGATGCTCATCAAAAGCCACAGACAGGTGTGCTCATAGTATTGTCTGGAGTAATTTCCAGTTTAGAAACACTTAACAATAGTAACGTGAACTTTAAAATTATGGCATATTCATATAATGGAATTCTGGATAACAGTGAAAATGAATAAAGGAAACTAATCACAATAACATGGATGCATCTCACAAACATAATGTTGAGCAGAAGAAGCCAGACACAGGCCGGGCGCAGCGGCTCACGCCTGTCATTCCAGCACTTTGGGAGGCCGAGGTGGGTGGATCACTGGAGGCCAGGAGTTCAAGACCAGCCTGGCCAACATGGTGAAACCCCGGCTCTACTCAAAATATAAAAATTAGCTGGGTGTGGTGGCACATTCCTGTAGTCCCAGCTACTTGGGAGGCTGAGGCACGAGAAATCACTTGAACCCGGGAGGCAGAGGCTGCAGTGAGCCGAGATTGCTCCACTGCACTCCAGCCTGGGCAACAGAGCAAGACTCTGTCTCAAAAAACAAACAAACAAACAAACAAACAAACAAAAAACCACCACCACCAGGCAAGAGGAATGCAGCGACTTACTCCAGCTATACAAAGTTTCAAAACAAGCAAAACTAACCTATGGTGACAGAGGTCTTTTTATTACTGGGTTGTAAGAGTTCTTTATATATTCCTTATAGGACTCTATCTAGGCAGTTTTTACACTAAAATCAAACTAATAATTTGCCCTCCAAAGTGCCTGCTAAAAAAAAAAGATTATTAGGGGAAAATAACCTCAGTGGTGATTTTAAAAAGTCAACTTAATGAAATCTCTCAGAACAAGAGATAAACATGAAAAATACAACCAAACTGAAGAAAAGATGGAGGGTAGATTCAAGGGGTCCATCCTGGCCAGGCGCAGTGGCTCACGCCTGTAATCCCAGCACTTTGGGAGGCTGAGGTGGGCAGACTGCTTGAGATCGGCAGTTCTAGACCAGCCTGTCCAACACAGTGAAACCCCATCTCTACTAAAAAAACACAAAAATCAGCTGGGCATGGTGGCATGCGCCTGTAATCCCAGCTACTCGGGGGGCTGAGGCACAAGGATCGCTTGAACCCAGGAGGTGGAGGTTGCAGTGAGCTGAAATCGCACCACTGAACTCCAGCCTGGGGGACAGAGTGAGACACCATCTCAAACAAACAAACAAACAAACAAACAAATCCGCCCTGCATCCAGGAGATGCAAATGGGGCAGACACAGAAGCAAAGCCAAACAATGGCAGAAAGGCATTTCCTTAGCTGAAGTAAAAATGGAGTTTTTAATCAGAAAAGCAAATGATGCTGGGAAGGCACATAGAAAGAGAACTTTTTTTTTTTTTTTTTTTTGAGACAGAGTCTCACTCTGTCGCCCAGGCTGGAGTGCAGTGGCACAATCTCGGCTCACTGCAACCTCCGCCTCCCGGGTTCACGCCATTCTCCTGCCTCAGCCTCCCGAGTAGCTGGGACTACAGGCGCCCGCCACCACGCCTGGCTAATTTTTTTGTATTTTTAGTTGAGATGGGGTTTCACTGTGTTAGCCAGGATGGTCTCGATCTCCTGACCTCATGATCTGCCCGCCTTGGCCTCCCAAAGTGCTGGGATTACAGGCGTGAGCCACCGTGCCCAGCCGAGAACATCTTTTTAAAAATTATTTTACAAAATCTTTCTCACAGAGATAATATTTATTTTGACACGGTCTAATGAAACGTCTGAATTCCAAGGGTTAAAAAAAGAAAATATTTAGGCAAAAAAAATCAGTTGATATCATGTTAATACTGGACTTCTCATCGGTTGTTCTAGATGGTGGAAGACTATGCAGCAATGTCACAGGGGTCCGGATGAAAAGGACTGTGTCCCTGTAATTCCACACCCAGACTGTCTCCCATCTTTACCTGTAGCCTTTCCTCAAAAAGTACTTGAGGAAGTATTCTAGCGCAACAAAAAATGAATTAGAGTAAATAATTCAGAAGGAAGAAATAGTAACTAATAAATAACATGCAGCCAACACACTGTAACTATCAATCATTAATTACCATATGGTCTAAAATTCTAAAAGTAGTTTGAGAGAGGCAAAATCCAAAAGATACAACAAAAAACTCCAAAGCAGCCAACCAACCAAGTGATCCAGAGCTAAAATTACAGATAATTTGCACACTTGGGATATGATGAGGGAAATAAAAGCATCTCATCTTGTCAAGGAATAAAAGGTCTCACTTTATTCGGAAGAGAAGGTAAAAAGGTTACACTGTTAATTAAGAGAGAAATACAGGCTGAAAAAAGTGGGTAAAAATTTAACTATAACCATGTTTCTATAAGAAATATGACACAGACTTCATGAATGATTACAAAAAAAGGAGAAAATAACTTAGGAAGGGGCAGGGAAAAATGTTCATTGGAGCAGGGCTGGGATGGGGACAGTCGGCTGGCACAGAGCAGTTAACCAGGTCATCCCATCAGAAGTAAGCTGGCTGGCCGTAACACACATGGTTATAACATAGCTGAGATCCAGTCAGGAAAAGGTCACTCTTACAGTGAAATTGGTAAAATCAACATAAAAAGGCTAAGAGCCAATTGCAGAAGGGCCCTACCCCAAGAGATGGTTGCTCAACGTGCTACCCAGTGAGCTATGGAAAAGGTGCAGCTCTAATTGACACAGAGGCAGCTGAGGCAGCTAAAGTTAGCAGAAATCAGTCATGGCTATTAAGAGAGAACAAAGGCTCCGGCTGATGTGCCTGCTCAGCCTCCAAAGGTTGGGGAGGGCAGGCAAAGACCAGGATAGTGACTGCACTGTCCAAGCCTGAGGGTACTGATTTCAGAGGTGAATTACCAGCTACCTAGACAGGTCCGGCCAATTCATCCAGGTGAAGAAAAACACATCTTCAAAATATCCTGTTCTCCTCATTCTAGTTCCACGTGCACCATACAACCTTCTGAGCTACAGTGTGGTCTTCTGGAGGGATTTCCATACCAAGAGGGAACACATAATGATTTTCCTGCCAGACGCATACCCCTGTGAATTGTGACTGATTTATAAATCAGCCTCAACTCCCACGTAGAAGTTCACGTAAAAATGCTCCTCTGAGTCTGAGCATCTCCAGGCAAACTGCTAAAAAAAAAAAGTCCTTGGACTCAAAAATCTGAGGACCAAACCTTGGGTCCCGCGGGCACCGTCCCTTCCCCAAAGTCCTGCCAACTTGGAAAATCCTGTTTCAGCAGCCTGCTAGCTTTGTCTCTGATTCCTCTCTGTTTACTAGAAAAAGTGGGAGACTACTGTAAAGATTGTCAGCTATTCCTAAATTAATAAATAAATTCATTATCAGCTCAGTGAAAAAGCTAACAGGATCTCTTCTTTAATATGATAAAAATGACACTAAAGTTCATATGGAAAAAATATATTTACAGGAACAGTCTAGAAAATTATGCAAAAGAATAACGAAGGCATACCTAAACTGTTCAGGGTCTTTAAAATGTCAATGTTTTGAAAATTTAAAAAAAGGCAAGGGAAGCAGATTAAAGACAAAGTCAGCATGACATCTAAATACAACGGAATTTTTAAGAGGATCCTGATTTAAAAAAAAAACCTGTAAGGGACATTTTGGGGATAATTGGGAATATCTGTATTTAGGCTATATGTATAAAACTATTCTATCAATGCTAAAAACTGTAAGCATAATAATGACATTGTGGTTATATAGGAGAATGTACTTTAAGGAGAGAAGTATTGAGGGTGAAGTGTCAATGATGGCTTCAACTCATTTTCAAAAGTTCAGGAAAAAAATATAAACAGAGATAAAGCAAAATATTAACAACTGGTGAATCTAGGTGAAGACCTTCATTCATTGTTCTTTGAAGTTTTCTATGAGCTTAAAACTTTTCAAAATAAAAAGGTAGAAAAAAATCATTATAAGCATTATATATAAATATATTGTTTTATACACACACACACATATATATTTACAAAATATAGGAAGGGTCAGAAGAAAATAATTATAACTTCTAATCCTACCCTTAAGGCTACAGAGATGATTGTCATCATTTGTTTCAGTATGTGGCTTTCCAAAACCTTCTTCTATGCATACCACCACCCCCACTTTTAAAAATAAATTGCCCTTACCGACTTTAAGGGAGGTAACATGGCTGCTAGTAATCCCAAAATCCTCTTCTGGGAACACTCAGCAAACACTTGCTCAGGGCTTGGAGTAACTGCTTTTTCCTCTATGGGCTTCTGAGATGACACTTCTGAATCTTCAGCATCTAAGTGGTAAAACAAACTTTCAGAATTTGCCTGCATCTCCACATGTATGAAGAGGCAAGTAAACCACTGCACTGTCCCCTGTGCTGCTACGGAATAAAGCTGGGATTTTATTCATTTATTTTTTAAATTTGAGAGGGAGTCTCACTCTGTTGCCCAGGCTGCAGTGCAATGGCACAATCTCGGCTCACTGCAACCTCCACCTCCCGGGTTCAAGCAATTCTCCTACCTCAGCCTCCCAAGTAGCTGGGATTACAGGCGTGCGCCACCTTGCTCAGCTAATTTTTGTATTTTTAGTAGAGACGGGGTTTCACCATGTTGGCCAGGCTGGTCTCGAACTCTTGACCTCAAGTGATCCGCCCACCTTGGCCTCTCAAAGTGCTGGGATTACAGGCCTGAGCCACTGCTCCCGGCCTAAAGCTGGGATTTTAAAAGCCTATGGCTGGGCATGTCTGCGCTCAGCTGTTTCCTTCTCCAGGAGGCCTGCCTGAGCCCTGTTTAAATGAAAGACTGTCCTCCCAGAGCTCTCTTACCCCCGCCCTCCCCATCTCCCTGAGCCTGCTCTGCTGTGCTCACAGCATTTCATCACCTTTTCACATTCCACATAATTTATATTTATTGTTTACTGTCTGCCTTCTTTCAGATTTTTGTTTCTTTCAGTGATGTATCTCAAGCACCTAGAGGTGTTTCTGGAGCATGGCAGGTACTTAATACTTGATGAATGAATAAACTGCCTATGAACCAGGATGCTGATCCTCAGGGGAATGAGACTCCAGTGAATTTTGATGATTTGGATTGATGTGGAGTGTCAGACTGTTTTCTGGAACTCAGAATTATACACACTGCATAGATAAGCATCAGATAGAGAGGGCAGAAGGCCAGGTGCTCACCCCGCCATCACAGAGCAGGAAGGTGGGGAAGATCCTGCACTCCTGGGCCACCATAAGGAGGAGGCTGGGACTTGCCTCCAGTCTCCTGAGCCCACAGCATGCTCCTCAATCCTCCTAAGCCAGCTCTGACCTTGCTGCTGCTATCCTCTGGCAGGCTGAGGCCTTCAGCAGCATCTCTCCTTTATCATCCTCTAGTGTTCCACTCCATCCCTACACACCTGCCAAGAGGGACTTCTCTACTTTAGGGCCTTTGCTCCTGTTGGCCTTTCTTCTCCGAACGCCCATCCCTATTGCAGATCCTAGCACATTCAAGGTCCCCTAGATCTCTTCCTCTCTAAAGCTTTATGAGGATACAGTCTGCCCCAGAGAGACACCAATCACTGTCAACACCCACTTACACCTCATTCCGCCTCAAATTACAGTTACCTGCACCTGTGTCTTAAGCCCTCCTAGACTGTGAGCTCCATGAGGGCAGGAACCACATGTCTATCTGTCTGATTCAGTCCCTGTTTCATCCCCAAGGTCTAGCACTGTGTTTGGCATATAGAAAGCACTTAGTAAATACAGGAAATAAATAAGGTAGGAAAGCAGTCAAAGTGAAGAAAGATGACATTCGAGGTGTCATCAGCACCATCTGAACAGAACTGAGAAACCACGCACCCCTGGCGTCTAGCCAATGTCAAGCTGTGTGCCACAAACAGCTCAGGGATGGGTATATGTGCATTTTAAGATGAAAGAGATGAAGATAATGGTCAAATAGTCTTTACCTGGAAGTCCTGTAGGTGGGCTAGCATCTGCAGGTGAATCTGAAATTTGGGTCTGGCATGAAGGATCCTTCGATAATGATACACCTTTATCTGCCTTATTTCTCTGCTTGAAATCTACAGGTCTGATTTCCTCATGAACAGCTCTCTTTCCCTAAAAAAACAAAAGTGTAAAAGAATTAAGGTTTCTTATAACAAAGTTTGCTCCATGATTATGATAACTTTTTAATGATTAGCCAGTCTTCATAGACTAAAAAACTTTTGAATGCCATTAGAAAATGCCACTCATTTCTTTTTTCTTTTTTGTGTGTTTTTTTGAGATAGAGTCTCACTCTGTCACCAGGCTAGAGTGCAGTGGTGTGATCTCGGCTCACTGCAACCTCCACCTCCCAGGTTCAAGCGATCCTCCTGCCTTAGCCTCCTGAGTAGCTGGGACTACAGGTGCGTGCCACCATGCCCAGCTAATTTTTGTATTTTTAGTAGAGACAGGGTTTCACCATGTTGGCCAGGATGGTTTCGATCTCTTGACCTCGTGATCTGCCCACCTCGTCCTCTTTAAGTGCTGGGATTACAGGCGTGAGCTACCAGGCCTCGCCTATGCCACTCATTTCTTATGGTAAATCTATATTCTAATTAAGACAGTAACTGTCGGGCTGGGTGTGATGGCTCATGTCTGTAATTCCAGCACTTTGGGAGGCCAAGGCGGGCAGATCCCTTGAGGTCAGGAGTTCAACACCAGCATGGCCAACATGGCGAAACCCCATCTCTACTAAAAATACAAAAATTAGCTGGGCGTGGTGGCGTGAGCCTGTAATCCCAGCTACTCAGGAGGCTGAGGCAGGAGAATCGCTTCAACCCAGGAGGAGGAGGTTGTAGTGAGCCGAGATTGCGCCACTGCACTCCAGCCTGGGCGACAGAGCAAGACTCTGTCTCAAAAAAAAAATAAGATAGTAACCATTGCATCGCATCCCCCATCTTCCAAATGTCCCTCTGTCAGAGCCTGCAGTCCCATAAGAAATGGCTCTATTAAAAACCTCTCATACATTCTATTCAGCTTTCAGAAACCAAGCATGGAAAGTTGTTCCCAGAGGAAAAAGACAAAGCTATGAAATTCTTTCTTTCTTTTTCTTTTGACTCTGTGAGTATAAAAAGTTGTGACTTCCCTTCTAGTACACTCTGGTGACTATCGTTAATGTACTTTGTTTTCTTCAGTATGAAAACCAAACAAACCTTTATTTACAGAATAATTAGAAAATTCTTGGTATCTAACATTATCTTTAATATGATGAAGATAAGACTACATCAATTCTATAGCCTAGAAATATGACATTGTTTTCACTGCCACAGATGAAGCTATTTTATTGCTGTAGAAACTGGCATTCTGTGGGCTGTGGGACAGAGTTGTGGGTTGTATATATTTCCTCTCTTACTTTTCTATAGAATTTGCCTTTGTTAATTAACATGGAAGGTGTACATAAAGCCAACCACACATGTCACTTGATCAAACAAAACCGGATGCTACTCCTAAACCTAACTAATCACACCCTTTCTACCAGGTTTTAGCATTCTTTCCTAGCTGCTGTTTCCTAGATGCTGTTTTTTTGTTCTTGTTTTTTTTTTTTTTTGAGATGGAGTCTCGCTCTGTTACCCAGGCTGGAGTGCAGGGGCGCCATCTCGGCTCACTGCAAGCTCCGCCTCCCAGGTTCAAGTGATTCTCCTGCCTCAGCCTCACGAGTAGCTGGGACTACAGGTGTCCGCCACCACACCCAGCTAATTTTTTGTATTTTTAGTAGAGATGAGGTTTCACTGTGTTAGCCAGGATGGTCTTGATCTCCTGACCTTGCGATCCACCCATCTTGGCCTCCCAAAGTACTGGGATTACAGGCATGAGCCACCACGCCCGGCCTCTTTATTTTAAAAAACAGAATAAACATACCTTTGATGCCCTTTTGAGAATCCCACTTTGGCAATGAGACTTGTTAAAGGGGCCCTTTCTGGAGGTGGGAGACTTTTCTAGAATCAGGAGTCTAGTGGTGAGCTGCCCAGATGGGCAAGGTGACAGCTGTCAGCTGCATTTCCTGAGAAGTCACTCAGAATCCCCCCAGTGACTGTTTGCACTCCTGGGACCCTCAGGGTGCCTTTCCCTATTGTCACACAGGCTTATGTGTGGAACTGTGGCTACATGGGAAGTGTTATGTGCATGGTGGAGGCACCCCAGCTTCAGGTCTGAGAAGGCCAAACGTTGACTTTCACTCTTTGGGGCCAAAGGTGGAGTGTGATTCAACACCAAACATTCAGGAGGTGACATGCCGTCTCCCAGGGGTACCTAACTCAGCCTCCCCTCTGCATATGTAACCTCAATATCAATCCTACCTTCAACCTCTTTCTGAGAAAAATGTGACTGTAAGACTGTCCTAAGAGAGGAATGAAACTGGGAGAGCTACTTGCTTTGTTAAATGTACCCTCTGAAAAGACCCGACACCATACTCCCTGTACCATATGGCACTTGCGAAGACAATATAATTCCCAAGTTATGGCAAATGACTTATCTTTTTTCCTGTTATCACAGGACACTGTAAACAGAATCTTCTGGATGATGCCTCTGGCTAAGGTTAGTTTCTCAGTTGTTGAAAACAAAAAGTATCTCTAGTCATTGGACGGAGAAAAGGTAGATACCCTTACCAGGGCCCTGGGGTTGCTTAGAAGCACGTGAGAGTTGAAAAACAGTGATCTGTCCTAGGGGCCCCAATGGGATACAGTCCTTATGGCCACTGTAGTGGCAACACTCAGGTTCAGTTGTGGGGACAGTGCTGGAAATTGCTTGCAGCTTTACTTGAAGACTAAGAGGAAGAGCCAGAGGCAGGATACCCTGGGCGCACCCGGCTGCTGGTGGGTGGGAAGGGGACTCAAAAGGTGGGAATGGCTCAAGAATAAAAACAGTGCCCTGGGACCTCTTTGGAAAAAGTCCCATTTCAATCCTGAAGCAGGGAAGGCCTAAAACAAGCCTGAAACATCTTTCTCTATCAAAAATTAAGGAACTGTTCAAAAAATAATGGCAACATATCAAAAGAACACAAAAGCCAGGGAGGAGCAGTTTCCACTGCCCAAACATGGGACAATTTGAGCATCAAAATAAATAATGGGTCAGGCACAGTGGCTCAGGCCTGTAATCCTAGCACTTTGGGTGACTGAGACAGATGGATTGCTTGAGTCCAGGAGTTCGAGACCAACCGGGTAACATGGCAAAACCCCATCCCTACAAAAACTACAAAAATTAGCTGGCATGGTGGCATACACCTGAAGTCCCAGTTACTTGAGAGGCTGAGGTGGGAGGATCGTTGGAGCCCAGGAGGTGGAGGTTGCAGTGAGCCAAGATCATACCACTGCACTCCAGCCTGGGCAACAGAGTGAGACCCTGTCTCAAAAAAAATAAGAAAAGTGGCCGGGCGCAGTGGCTCACGCCTGTAATCCCAGCACTTTGGGAGGCCGAGGCAGGCAGATCACGAGGTCAGAAGATCGAGACCAACCTGGCTAACATGGTGAAACCCGTCTCTACTAAAAATACAAAAAATTAGCTGGGCGTGGTGGTGGGCGCCTGTAGTCCCAGTTACTTGAGAGGCTGAGGTAGGAGGATCATTGGAGCCCAGGAGGTGGAGGTTGCAGTGAGCCAAGATCATACCACTGCACTCCAGCCTGGGCAACAGAGTGAGACCCTGTCTCAAAAAAAATAAGAAAAGTAATAGATTTTTATCCATTGAATTAAAAAAAACCCATAAAAAAACCCTATTAAGTCCATTCTGACATAAATAAAAGGATAAACGGGGAAGCACAGTGCTTATGGGTGGAAGGTTAGTTTTAAGATGCTGAGGGCTCACAAGAAGATACAAATATTCCCAGGCTCAAAGGTGAGGACTACTGATTAATCCCATTTCTCCTAACAATGTTCTCTTTGTTCCCATCATAATCCGTGGGTGGTTAAAGTGCCGCCTACAGAAGACGTTTCATGGAAAAAATGTGGACGGTTGAGAGACAGGCTTGATGATTATGTGGCCTGTCTTCTACTGACTCTCTGGCTGAATGGAAATAATAAAAATGTTGATGTTTCTGCTGGCCAGTTTTGCTTTTGTATTCCTCCACATGAGAATGGGACCTTGGTGAGCTACAACCACCAGATGGGGGAATCCTTGAACTAGCAACCTGACAGACAGAGGACAGCAACATCAGCGACCCCTGTGGCAGTCAAGGGCCTTTTCAGCAGAAACACAAGCTCTGGAGGCAGCATCATAGAAACAATGGCGTGCTCTTCCATAAAACAATCTTTAGTGCCACTATCACAGGTTATACCTGGATCCAGAATAGCTTTTCTGTTTATGCAACTATGTGTAAATTACTGCGTCTACCCGGTAAACAGTAAGCATCAGTAACACCTAACTGTTGACTGAATATAAATACAGCTACACCGATACAGTGTACACCATGGGCTAGGAATGACTTTTTTTTGGTTGTTTTTTTTGAGATGGAGTCTTGCTGTCGCCCAGTTTGGAGTGCAGTGGCGCCATCTTGGCTCACTGCAACCTCCGCCTCCCGGGTTCAAGCGATTCCCCTGCCTCTCGAGTAGCTGGGACTACAGGCACGTGACACCAGCCTGGATAATTTTTTTTTTTTTTTTTTGTATTTTTAGTAGAGACAGGGTTTCACCCTGTTGGCCAGGCTGGTCTTGAACATCTGACCTTGTGATCCGCCCACCTTGGCCTCCCAAAGTGCTGGGATTACAGGCCACTGTGCCTGGCCAATTAATTTCTTTAGGTGCACAATCTTGTTTAATTCTTATAAAAACTACCAGGAGACAGGTAATGGGAGTGGTTAACACAGATATGGAACTTACTATCAACTCTTCTAAGCACTTGACATACAGTAGCTCAAAGTACGTCATATATACAACTCCTCACAATAAGCCTATGTTACAAGTATATCATCATCCCCATTTTATAGATGAGAAAACTGAGGCAGGCTGGGTGCAGTGGCTCATGCCTGTAATCCCATCACTTTGGGAGGCCAAGGCCAGAAGATCACTTGAGCCCAGGAGTTCAAGACCACCCTGGGCAACATGGCGAAACCCTGTCTCTACAAAAAATACAAAAATTAGCCAGGCATGGTAGCACATGCCTGCGGCCCCAGGTACTCAGAAGGATGAAGTGGGAGGATCACTTCAGCCTGGGGAGGTCAAGGCTGCAGTGAGCCAAGATCACGCCACTGCACTCCAGCCTGGGTGACAGCGAGACCCTGTTTCAAAACAAAACAAAAGAAAATAAAACAAACACTGAAGAGATGATAACAACATGCCCAAGGTTTGATGGAGCAGGCATGTGAATCCAGCAGTCTGGGTTAGGAGTCTGTGCTCTTAACCTCTCTGCTATGCTGCACTGAGTGAATGGCTCTCTCTAGAGTTCAACCTGTGATTCTGTGTAGTAAAGAATCGTCATTTACATTGCCTGCTTCTGACAGCTCAGCACCCTGGACAGCTTTCTTCTCTAGCTGCTCCTCTGACGCTCCGGTGGGCACAGTGACTGGTAGGGCCTGATCTTCTAGGCTCGAGTCCCCATCTGGCAATACACCCAGCAAAGCTAGAGCTTTAAGGCCTATGTGGGAAGCAAATCAGAGAATGGTTAGAAGTTTTATAATGAGAGTTCTTTTCAGCAAGTGCCATAAGTTACTTTGCCATTATATAGAAATAAATAAATGAGTTCTGCACAAACCAAATCCTAGAGGACTCAACGTGAACATCCCTCGCTGTCTAAATCTACTCAGCTCCTCCTCTCAGATGGTGAGAGGCTGAATAGCAAGGGATACCTGCACTTTATACTTTATTAACAACAGAAGATAAAACATATAACAGGATTGTCTATTTAGAAAATAATCAACATTATACTTTTATACTAGCCCCACACAATCAGACTGCTCAATTCTCACTGGCAAACTGGTATGGGAACTGCTCTAAGGTGCTGGCGTTACCCATGTGCTATCTCATACAGGCCTGGTTCCCTAATGTTGACTAGAATGGGGATGCCATTATCTGAAGGAACTTAGATGTCTCCAAGGTTTAACTTTCAAGTTGCTTTCTTCCCACCACTCCTTAGTCGAGTCAGATTCATGTCGATATATTGCTAAACTATTTTACTCGTAAACAGCTCTCATCTAGAATACACTTGTGTGGAAGCAGATTTACACTCCAGGTTAAGAAGTCTGGATTCTTTCAGCAAAGTTTGGTAGATTCAAATACTAGACTGCATCCACAGATATAAAGAGTTTTAATTATTATTTAAAATTAGTTTGAGGTATTAATATTAGTTTCAGAGAAATTAAATGTTGAACTTCAATGCCAACATTTCTCTAAAATCCATCGGGGAACTTAAAAATTAAGTTCCACACCAGGGTAAGCCCCTTTTGTGGAAAAGTGGATGTTGCCACCTGTAAACTAAGCTTAGTATTTTACATTTGCCAAGGCTTTTTTTCACCAGCAACTGAGGGCTGGTTTTGGTTTCTGTGCATTGGGAAGTCACCTTTTCCCTGATGAGCCTTCATCAGACAGTCCCCGACGAGCTGCATGCACTGGCTCCGCAGGGTGGTGGCACTGCTGCGCGTCTGGGGGTCCAGCTTCTCCCCATCCACATCCTCTGCACTGGCCAGGTGGGCGCTATAGAGAGCCAGGGCAGCAAAGAGCAGCCAGGAGTAGTTATGGATATATGGCTGGATGAGCCTCTGCCGGTCACTGATCCGAATGGTTACCATTGGGTGGGCCGTGATGCTGTGGGTAGGCAAATGGCTGCAAAGGCAAGACACATTTAAAGCTTACAACCCTCCAAAAGCTTTTGTGGCTCCAAACAGGAGCACAGGGCCTTAGGAGAGCATGTGGTCGCAACTGGGCATTAGTCACCTCTAGGATGCGCTTACTGAAAATGTAAAGAAAGGTGTGGGCCCTCTCTCCAGAAAAATGAAGAAACACAAACACAGAACATGCCTTTCAGGGTTTCACAATCCCCAGAGGTTGTCTGCAGAAATTGGACTAAGGAAGAATTGCTTATTGTGATTTTGGAAGGTGTGGTAATAGCATTTTGGTAATGTGAATAAAACCCATAATTTTTAAAGGGGGGTATAAAGTATGTAGGAAGGAAATAATTTAAGGCCTGGAATTTGCTTTATTTATGTATTTATTTATTTGAGATGGAGTCTCGTTCTGTCGCTCAGGCTGGAGTGCAGTGGCGCAGTCTCAGCTCACTGCAACCTCCGCCTCCCAGGTTCAAGCGATTCTCATGCCTTAGCCTCCCAAGTAGCTGGGATTACAGGCACCCACCACCACACCCAGCTAATTTTTGTATTTTTAGTAGAGACGGGGTTTCTCCATGTTGGGCAGGCTGATCTCGAACTCCTGACCACAGGAGTTCGCCTCGGCCTCTGAAAGTGCTGGGATTACAGGCGTGAGCCACCGAGCCTGGTCCTGGAATTGGCTTTAAAATACTTTAACACAGGAAAAAAAAAAAAAAGCAATAAACTAAGCACACATTACAAAATCTTCCTAACTGCTGAACCTGGGTAATGGGTACATGAAGGTTCACTGTGTTAGTCTCTTTACTTTTGGTTATGTTTAAATTTTTAAATAAAAAAAACTTTTTTAAAAAAAGAAAGAAGTCCCTTTTCAAGTGAAGGAACGTGTAAATAAAAGGCTTGGTGGCGACGGTCACTTGAGACATACCCGTAGGAGTATTTCTTCGCTGCATAGCATCCGTAGCAAAGATCAAAGTCATCGCAAACATTGCAGTTCATCCTCCGGCCTATGATCAAACCCTGGCAGTGGTCACAGGTAAACTCCATGTTGACCATTTCATGGTCGTCTCCGTGGCCCTCAGGCTTCACCCCACCTGAGGAGAAACACAGCAGTGTGAGGGGATGAGGTAGAGGGCTCCTAGATGGGCTAGTTTCCAAACCCAAACCAACCCCAGCACCAGGGCCGTTCCCAAGTGACTGCTCAGGGATACAGGGCCCACAGGCGTTCTCTGGAGACAGGGTGCTCTGCCTGGGTGGCTCAAGGCATATGAATGAGACTCTTGGCACAGAATTTCTCGGCAATGGTACAGTGAGATCAAATGCATTATCAGGACTGCTGTTTGGTGGAAACAAGTCCACATGTTAATTTGTGAGCTGTCTCCTATGACCCCTCCACTAACAAAGAGTAAGCTTCTGTTGATGTATTCCTGTTAACAAGCACTGAGGACTGATCAGGATATTTGCTCTTCCTTTTTCACTCCAGAATCACAGATGAAAACAGACTTCCAAAATAAAAAAATAAAAATTAAAAAATTAAAAAAGGGCCAGGCGTTGTGGCTCATGCCTGTAATCCCAGCACTTTGGGAGGCCGAGGCAGGCAGATCGCTTGAGTCTAAGAGTTCAAGACCAGCCTGGGCAATATGGTGAAACCTCGTCTCTATTGAAAATACAAAAATTAGCCACGTGTGGTGGCAGGCACCTGTACTCCCAGCTACTTGGGAGGCTGAAGCAGGAAAATCACTTTAACCCAGGAGGCAGAAGTTGCAGTGAGCTGAGATGGTGCCACTGTACTCTAGCCTGAGGGACAGAGTGAGACTTTGTCTCGGGAGGGCGGCGGGGGAGAAAAAACCAGACCCAGACCCAGTGAGTGAGAGAGAATAACAGTCAGGAAAGAGATGGGCTGCACTGGTCTCCTTCTCACTCTAAGGCCCTTGGGCCCTTCTCACTCTAAGCTCTGTCATGGACCCTAAAGAATGCTCCTCGCGCCTGGCCCACTTCTGTTCATTCTCACTGTCATGAACCCAGTCCAGGCTCCCATGCCTGTGTGAATACTGTGACTGATTTCCTAAAGGAGACTCTTAGCACTGACAGAACCACCTTCCTCTAGCATAGCTCTCATCATGTTATTAATAATACCTACTTCAAAAACCTTCCCTGCTGTCTCTAGACTATTCAAACTCCTTAGCCTAGTATCTTGGGGTCCCACAGTCGGGGGCCCCACCTGTCTTAATCCATCACTTAGTTGGGCAAACATTTCAGCATGGCCATCTAAAGTCACTACAGACACTCCTCTGTCCCAGGGTTTGCTATGCCCTTGATGGTGATACCATCCCCAACGTTTCCTACACATCATCCAGTTCTAACTTCCTTCAAAAACCAATTCTCATTCCACCTCCTTCACGAGCCTTCCCTGCAGCAATGCTGCTACTGCTTCTAAACTTTTCCAGAAACAATCTGTACCCTCCTTTATAACTCAGCACACACATTCTTGTACTGGAATAGACATTCTGTGGATCTGTCCAGTCCTCCTGCTGGACTGTAGATGGTTCCAGGGCAAGGGCTGTCTCTTACCACTGGGCCATGCACAAAAAGGCCAGTCAGGTGTGCACTACTGTGCATCTGTTTTACCTCAGCACCTAGAAGTCAAGTGTACGAGGATTTTTGAAGCTTGCTTGTGTATGTGTGCGTGTGTATTTTGCTACATGTAAACACTGCATGATTCAGAAGCAAACACTATTTCCTGAAAACTCCACTGAACATACATACACTGGTCCCGAGTGTTTATTATGTGGCTACACCCAGCATGATAGAAGAAGGAAGCACGACAGATATTAGGGCTGTGGAGCTTTTCATTTAGTTGAGGAGATAAGGCTCATGTTCGCCAAGAAGTCAGAGAAAATACCACTGGGCAGTACTTTGATTTAGTACACTGAGAGTTTTTAAAAATGACAAGATCATAGAAATCAGAAGTGATATTGCCTTTGGATACGGCGTACCCAGTTCATGAAATTTACCTAGGAAGCAAGTTTTGCAGAGATCCATGTCGCTGCACTGCAGACAGCGGTATCGATGCCAGGGGGCAATCTCATCACACCCATCACAAGAGATGTCCACATTTAACAGGTCACAGTAGCGAGCAATGAACATGTGCATCTGTAAGGCCAAACATATACAATTAACTGATAGATTTTCTAAGGTGGCCACAATTCACTAATCAATTCCTCCATTCACTAGGTACTGAAGATGTTCCAGGCATTGTACTAAGTGCTAGGATTTGATAATGAATAAGCTCCTCAGTGTCTAGTTGGGAATTCCATCAAGGAGGTGATGACCATTTAGTATGACCAGTGCTTTCACAGGAAATTGCAGGAGGCTTAGAGGACAGAGGACTATGGCTACCAATGGGTATTCAGAAGGTCAAAGAAGGTTTTCCAAAGGAGATAATTCCTCAGGTGAGACCCAAAGGACAAACAGGTACTAGACGGGTCGGGGTAAGGGAGGTGGGCATGTCAGATAGAAATAGCAAATTTGACAGACAGCAAAAAGGGGATGAGAGACAGGTTTATGAAACTGGCATGACTCAGTGCGTCGAATACAGTACAGAGGGGAAGAGTCAGATGAAGAGAGAAAGGTTAAACCACAAAGGGCCTTGCATATCAGTCTTAGGAGTTACAGATTGTTTTTAGAGAGAAGAGTAATGTGATCGGACTGGAGTGCTCTTCTGGAAGTTGAGGAAAGAATGGATCAAAGGGGCAAGCCTGGACTCAGTGAGACTGACCATGACCAAAGCGTTAAAGGAACCCCATGGCACATTATAAGGGCTGGGACTGAGTAGTAGGCGGGATGGTGAAAGGTGCGTAGATTTGAGGTGTTGAGGCAGAAGTGGGAAACCTTGGTGACCGACTGGATATAGGGATCAGTAAAAGGGAAGAAAGTTTCTGGCTTGGGTACGTGGTTGGACGATGGTAGTGTTCACAGATACAGGAAACACTGCAAAAGGAGTACTGTCCCTGGCACTTACAGGCAAACTTTCTGCAGGGATAGTCTGGGTACTGTCTAATGAGCAAACAAATTGCTTTACTGGAAAGTACTTGGACTACAGTATTGTTTCTCTTTAGGGCCTGGAAATGAGGGATCTAAATCAGTAAGTCATACAGTAGACCAGAGCAAATATGCCAAGTCACCTTACAACTACAGAACTCCCAAAAGGTATTAACATATGCGAGAGAAAAAGCCACAAAGGCCCACTTGGCAAGCTCCATCCAAGCACCACAGTGGTGCTACGTGAACAAAGTGGTTGGCACATAGTAGGCACTCGATACTTAGAAAATGAATGAATCTGAGGCAGCAGATGCTTGGCACATGTGGTAGCGATGGATTTAACACCTGACGTGGAGATGGACACAGTGGGCTATCTGAGCCTGAGCCTTTGCACATCTGAATCATGCAGCTCTGATGCCCTCTCTATACATAACGGCTGCTCCCATGCTCACCAGGCAGCCTTCTGATGGAAACGTGGCTTCCCACACTGCTTGTCTACAGGAAGAGAATGTGCTGCTCCAAGGACACTAGAGCCCAGGCCCTCCAGCAATTCTATTTCTCACTGTAAATTAGTAAACTGGCACCTCATATTGTACATCAGCTTTAAGAGCCAATTTTTCAATGAGTCTAGTTCTACGGCAGGGAGCCACTCTGAGTGTAGTCAAATCAGGATTTATAGCCCCTCAGGTTAAAGGTTAAACACCAGACGCTAGGGCAGCAGTCCCCCTTTTTGGCACCAGGGACCAATTTCGTAGAAGACAATTTCTGCACAGGACTGGGTGGGGGATGGTTTCGGGATGAAACTGTTCCACCTCAGATCATCAGTCATTAGACTCTCATAAGCAGCGCACAAACTAGATGCCTCGCATGCGCGGTTTATTGTGGGCTCATGCTCCCGTGAAAATCCAATGCCGCAGCTGATCGGACAGGAGGCGGAGCTCAGCCTCCCTCGCTTGCCTGCTGCTCACAGCCTGCATTCGGTCGCATTCAGCGGTTGGGGACCCCTTCACTAGGGTATTGAATGCCACCTGCAGCCCTCTCAGGTAAGAGCCTGCCAGAACCCCCCCAGGCAAACTCTCCTCTCCAAACTCCTAGCAAATCACTTCAGAGTACTCTAGTTGAGAGGTCTTACTTTCCTCTGCTTCTCTGGATCTTCCTGGGCTATTTTTTCATACCAGGCCTCAAACATGCCATCCTGACACTCATCCATCCATTCTGAATTCTGCTTGGCATCAGCAAGCTCATCTTCTTCACTCCATTGGCTGAAAGAAGGACATAAAGAGAGAAAAGCATGCCTCTCCCAATCACCAAGGAAAGTACTGGTTAGCAGACCCTGTGTCTATAGGTCTATTATATTGGGCATTTTTCAACTTCTGAGAGGGAAAGGTCAACTGCTTTTCAAAGCCCCAGGATTTGTCAAATATTTGGTAGATATATGCCAAGAAAGAAGGAGAAGCCCTTTCCAGAGTAGACTATAAGGGATGAGAAATTAAGAGTTTGAAAGGTTGTACCACATGGCATAATTCCACTGGACAATCATTTATGGTGAACCTACTATGTGCCAGGCACTAGGGCCAAATAAAGTTATTATTATTATTATTATTATTATTTAGTCTGATTTAGACATGCTCAGCATATCCTGGTGGAATCAGTACGAGAAGGGAATCAGGAGACACTGTGACTTCAGCTCTACCACCAGCTGCTGTGAGACCTTGACACATGACTCAGCCCTGGTCCTCAGTCTCCCCATTTCAGACGAGATCAGGTGCATTCAGGGTGGTATGGCCACAGTTTCCTCATTTCAAATAAAGCGCTTCAGGTAGATAATCTTATAAGTTCCTTTTGGATGCAAAATTGTAAATTTCCATAATTTCAGTTTACAGCTCGTTTTAACAAATAGAACTTTAAACAGAAAAAGATTTGCTTAAGAGCAAATACAAAATATTTACCAAGCTACAAATACACATTCATTCATTCATGCATTCCAACGAAATGGTTTTGGGCCTACACTCATACTCAAGCTTTGCGCTCGGTGCCACGGGGGCTTGCTGTAAAGGGCGCGCTTCCTTCCCTGAGGACTGTGGCGTGCGGGGAGACAAAGCGAGAAACCGCGAGCAGGCCCACAGCCAAGATCCACAGGCTCATGCCCCCTAGTGCTGCCCCGCCTCTGCCAACGGAGCTCCAACAGCGAGGCGACAGCTGAGGTTCGTGAACTAAAGAGACGGCTCTAATTCTGTCCCCTTTTCCCTTGGAACCGCTCTCCTGAGAGAGTGGAGACTGTCCTGGTGTTGACTCATTCACTTCTTCCCACTTCTCTCCTCTTAGTGCATTCCCCCTCCCCTTCTCCTCTTTTCTACACATGAATGGCCACGAATAGGGAAGTGGATTTGAGTAGAGTGGAGAGATACGGGCCAAATCGGAGGGAAAAAACCCTTCATACATGACTTTTTTCTAACTGAGGTCCTTATAATGTGCAAGAAGTTAGAGTGGCTAACATAACATATACATGTAACAAAAATTATGGAAAGGATTTCCCAATTCAGCAAGCTATACTAAGATCACCAAAATGCAGAGGATTCTCGGCCTCAGAGCTCACGAGTTCACCACCACCAATGTACATAGCTCTACTGCATGCCAGACGCGGTTCTAAACACTGAAATACATAACTCAGGTACTCATCACAACAAGCCTCGGAGGCAGCACCATTGTTATCTCCAGCTCTGAAGATGAGGAAACTGAGGCACAGAGGGATTATAAGACTTGCGCAAGGCCACTCGGCTAGGATGTGGCAAAGCCAAGATATGACACAGACAGTCTAGCTCCGGAGTCTGTGCTCTTAACGCCCCCACTATGTTCCTTGCGTTTCATAACCTACATTAGGAACTGCAGAGCGCAGGACCGTGCTCTTACCTGATCACACTGTCATGGACACTTATATTCTCCTGTGACATTTTCATGAGGAGATCTGGTAACTGAATATCAACAAAGAAGGCGAGATCATTGGGTTCCCAGCCCATATCCAAAAGATGAAGCAGGGCTGTCTGAACACAGGATAAGGCAGGGAGCAAGGACCTAAAGGGCCATGAAAGTGACCATTAGCAGAGCTGCTTACTCCCAACAGAGGCAACAGAAGCAATTCAAGTAGGTGACCTGGTTTGCAATTGAAAGCAGAAGGGAACTTCACATTGCTGGTTTGGGTTCCTTTCAAATTCCTCATACTCCACACAAACATCCTTCAAAGCTTACACAAAATAACTCTGAAAAGTGTAAAGTAAGGTTTCCACCCTGCCAGGACCACCACAGGGGTATCTTATGGTAAAGAACTGAGAAGTGAAAATCACTTTCTGATAAACTGCAAGATCAGGGCCAGCTCCAAATTAGCCAAGGTTATGCAGTTTAGATTTACCGAAGAATCATTTGATTTAAGGCTTATGTCTAAACCATTTACTAAGAGGACTGGGAAATGGCTTTATACTCGTTTTCAAACTGTACATAATACATAATATACTGGCTGGGCGTGGTGGCTCATGACTGTAATTCCAGCACTTTGGGAGGCCGAGGCAGGCAGACTGCTTGAGCCCAGGAGCTCAAGGCCAGCCTGAGCAACATGGCAAAATCCCGTTTCTACAAAACATAAAGAAAATTAGCCGGGCATGGTGGCATGCACCTGCAGTCCCAACTACTTAGGAAGCTGAGGTGAGTAGATCAATTGAGCCTGGGAGGTCCAGGCTGCAGTGAGCCACAATTGAGTCACTGCACTCTAGCCTGGGTGACAGCATGAGGCCGTCTCAAAACAAACCAAAAAATCCCTAATATACCAAAACAGAAAATAATAGGCTATAAATTCTTAGAAAAACCCAGACTCATCCCCTTAAAAAGAAAATATACACACCAGACAGAAAAAGGACTGGGAGAAAATATACGAATAAGTTAACATTAGTGATTAGCTCTCTAGGTGGTAACATTAGAGGTTATTTTTATTTTATTCTTTGTGCTTTTTGGTATTTTTGACAGTGAACATATATTTCTTTTATAATCAGAAAAAAATACATTTTTTTTCTCTAGAAATGATAAAGTTATCCAGTACCTGTCATTTAGGCTACTAAATCCTTTAACTGCTTTGACCAAAAACAGAACAAGTTGATAGTAAGTGTCTCGAATTTCTTTGTGTAGATCAGCACCACAGCCTTCCAGGTGTCCAAAATAACTAGAAACAGAGGAAATCACTGATTCACTTAATTGCCAGAACATCTTTTTCTTAATAATAATAATGATTTCTTACATGAAAAAGAGCAAGTGGCAGTCAGCTGAGCAAAGCGGCACAGGAACTTAAGTAAATACAAATATAATACCTATAGAAGGTAACACACAAAACAGCAAGTGAGTCCCTCTGACGGGCTCAAGAGAGTTACCCAGAAGCATGGAGATGAGATTATTTATCTTCTTTGTGAATATAAACCCATCCCTCCCACCACTACTTGGGTGCCAGATACTGTGTTAAGTATTTTTCACAAATGACCTCATTTGATCCTCTCCACACAATCACGCTCACCCCTCTGCCTCCCTTCATTGATGACTTTGGCACCAGCCTCACTGTCTTTTCTACCATGATCCTGGCCATCTTGGTGACTTCAACATCCATGAAAATGATGTCTCCATTCCTTTTTCCCTCAATTCTCTGCCATCTGCATCTCCAGTGATCTTCTCTTCCACGCCCTTAGCCATCTTAGTTTGATGGTCATTTCCTGGACCTTGTTATCATGTGATGACATCATCTCTGACACACTGATGCCAGAGCACCCTACTCTGACCCCAGCTCTCCTGCTCACCCAGGTAGGACTCCAACAGCAGCCTTTTCTTCAATACCAGTGGGCGTCAGCCCAGGACGCTGCCTCATGTTCACTATCTACTACTCCTGCCATGCTTTCTCTCTGCTCCCTTCTCAGCTTAGATTCCATGGCCCATAATCATACCTTAGCAAACACTAACTCCCGTGTCCCTTCCTTCCTCCATGTACTTGCCTGAGAAATCTTATACCTATATCAAAACAGCTGAATGTCATGGAGGAAACACCACACAAGCAAGCTGACTAGTATGACTTTAAATTTGCAACCATAATGATCAAATAAGCCCTCAAAATTGTCAGGCAATTCAGTAGACTGGCTTTCTCAATTTTCATTACTATCAAACCTTCCCATAGGCCAGGCATGGTGGCTCACATCTGTAATCCCATCACTTAGGGAGGCTGAGCCGGGCGGATCAATTGAGGTCAGGAGTTCAAGACCAGCCTGGCCAACATGGGGAAACCCAGTGTCTAGTAAAAATACAAAAATTAGCCGAGTGTGGTGGCACACACTTAGGAGGCCAAGGCGGGAGGATCACTTGAACCTGGGAGACGGAGGCCGCAGTGAGCCGGGATCATGCCACTGCACTCCAGCCTGGGTGACACAGCGAAACTCTTGTCTCAAGACAAAAAAACAAACAACAACAACAACAACAAAAAACAAACAAAAAAAACACTCAACCCCCCACCCCCACCAAAAAACCCCTTCCTGCTTCTCCTGATGCCACCACTACCTCCTTCTCATCCTTCCATTCTCTCTGATGACTATCCTTATATTTTACTTTTTAAAAGAGAAACTTAGGTATCTTGAGAAAGAAAAGTAACAATCACATAGGAATTCCCTTACCTTTGCACCACCAAATATCTACCAGCCAACTTGTGGACACCGTGTGTCCTATTTCCTCACTACTACAGATAAGAGCCTCCCTGGTTCAATCAAAGGCCAATCTCTCAACTTATACAACTGCTACTGCAAATTATCCCCTCTCTTCCTGCACCAAGTTTCCTTATCACTGATTCATTCCCACCAACACACAGAAGTACTCTTACATCTCTTTGAAACCCTCAGTTGACCTCACATCGCCCTCCAAAAACTTCCCCGTTTCTCTGCTCCCTTTGAGGCCAAATTTCTTAAACTAAATGTCTGTAGTCTCTCCATTTTATCACCCTCATTCTCGCTGGCCTTTTGGCCAATGGCTCCAGTAAGACTGCTGTCAAATCCAGTGTGTTTTTATCTCTTTCGAACTCTCACATTAGTATTTGACACAACTGATCATTCTTATCTTTTTTCTTTTCCAGGGAAGGGCACTCACCTGACATTCTTATCTTTTGAGATCCATTCTTCTCTTGACTTCTGGGACAACAGCATCCCCTGGTTTTTGATCTACCTGACTGGCCACTGCTTCTTGATCTCCTTAGCTGACACTCCTTTCTCTGCTTGACTTCTAGGTAAAGAAGTGTCCCTAAGGCTCAGTCCCAGGCCCCTTCTTGTCCATCTCTGCACCCTTTCTAGGAGGTCTTATGGCTCTAAATGTCACCTACATGCCAACTGCATCCAAATTCTATCCCTAGTCCTGACTTCTTTCCGTAACTTTAGTTAAAACGCTGACCTCTGTTTTCTCAATATCTTTACTTGGTATCTTTACAAAAAAGATTTCCAGCTTAACGTGGCCAAAACAAAACTTTTGATTTTCACCCCCATCTGTTTCTTCCATACTCTTTCCCTCACTAAAACGCATCACTATCCACCAGCTGTTCACTCCCAAATCCTAGGAGTTTCCCATGATTCCTTTCCTTCATTTACCCTCTCCATCTTATCCAACCGTAAGTCCTGACAACTCTACCTCTAAAATGCATTCTGAATCTCATCCTTTCCTCCCCATCTCCAGTATTATTCTCTGGATCAAACCACCATCATTTCTTGCCTGGACTACTGCCACAGACTCCTAACTGCTTTTCTTATTTCCACCTCTTTTCACACAGCAGCCAGGGGCACCTCTTATAAATATAAAACAAAGTGTGATCCTCCTGGGCTTAAAAATCTCCAGTGGTTTCCCAACTACAACTTGGTATAACATCGAAATACTTTACAGTGATAAGGGTCCTGCCTTTCTCACCTTATCCCATCCCATTTTCCCTGTCACTCAGCCACACTGGTTTTCGCTCTGTTCCTTGGACTAACTCCCCCCCTGGAGCCTCTGCACTGTTCCTTCTGCCTTCAAGGCTCTTCTCTCTGATCTTAGCTGGTCATTCACCTCTTTGGCTTTCATCTCCTCAGCCTGCCTTCCCTGACCATCCAAACTAGGTCACTGTATTAATCACCACATAACAATATCACTATCTGGTATTTTTTCATTTATTTGGTTTTTTACTGTCTCTCTCTCCTCAATATAATATAAAATCTGCCTTGTCTACTGCTGCATAACACCCAGAAGACATTCTAGCACACTAGATGCTCAAAAGGTATTTATTGAGTTAATCCTAAGAACCACCTTTTGAGGTACTCAGATTAATATCTTTTCTGTAAGCCTTATATTTAGCTCACAGCTTCCAGGAGCCAAATGATGCATGAGTATATGAGGAATGCAATTCTCACCATCTGGAAAGTAAAGCTCATCAACTCACCAGGAGGAATAAATATGTTCCCGGCAGTTACATATTAAAAGGATATAACCCATCTTTCCTTGGAATGAGAGAATGAATTAACCAAAAACGTACATTTGTATCCTACATAGAAATGATGCTGCTATTAATCAGAGAAGATAATCAGGATTTATTTACAATGATCTTTGCTGTTTTCCTTCTGGACCTGTCCTTTGTACTTACTTGGTAAAATCTTTCTGACAGGTCAGAAGTTCCAACAGGAAAAGTATGAAAGGTGGATGGAAGCAGTGGGGCTGCCCAAGGGATTCTGCACAGTGCTGAGTTATCTTCAGGACTTCCAGGATGCTCTGGGCCTGGGCTTTCCTCAGGGAAAGAACCTTCACAACACTGGAGACACAATGCAAGTCAGGAACACCCAGAAAACTCTTGAGCTGGGGCAGACGGAAAATATCCCCGCCAAAGCCCTGATGCCATATATCAAAGAGGAAACACTATTGTGAGGTATTAGAAACACCATGTAGGAGAAGTACCAATACCTCTTTACTATTTTTAAGTCATCACTCAGCAGCACTACAAATCAGTTCATGCCAACTGTCCAGAAGTCCGACAACCCATTATTTAACTTAACGAATTAAAAAGGAACATTGATATTTTCACTTTCCATAGAGACAAAGCCTTAATTCTTAGGACAGGAAATTCCTCACTAACTTAAACATGCAATACTTCCAGAGATGTAGGCCTATGAACAAATAATTTTGTTGGAAAATATCAAATCCTGGCTGGGTGTGGTGGCTCATGCCTGTAACCCTCTGATGCAGAAAGATTCCTTGAACCCAGGCATTTGAGACCAGCCTGGGTAACATAGGGCGGCCATGTTTCTAGAAAATGCCAAATCCAAATTTCTCCCTGGGTTAAAATAAGACAGTTTTATAAGTGGCAGCTACCCAAAAAATGCTTCCTTTTAAAATTCTAACGGTACGTTCTTGAGATATACTTTATAAACAGTATAATATATAAATCTTACATGAAAAAATATCTTTTTTTTGTTTTTCAGACAGTCTTGCTCTATCACCCAGGCTGGAGTTAAGTGGCATAATCTTGACTTACTGTAGCCTCAACCTACCTGGCTCAAGTGATCCTCCTGCCTCAGGCTCCCAGGTAGCTGGGACTACGGGCAGGTGCCACCACACTCAGGTCATTTTTTTTTTTTTTTTTGAGACAGAGTCTTGCTCTGTCGCCCAGGTTGGAGTACAGTGGCGTGATCTCGGCTCACTGCAACCTCTGCCTTCCAACTTTGAGCAATTCTCCTGCCTCAGCCTCCCGAGTAGCTGGGATTATAGGCATCCACCACTACGCCCAGCTAATTTTTGTATTTTTAGTACAGATGAGGTTTCACCATGTTGGCCAGGCAGGTCTCGAACACCTGACCTCGGGTGATCCACCTGCCTCAGCCTCCCAAATTGCTGGGATTACAGGCGTGAGCCACCGCACCCAGCCTCAGCTAATTTTTAAAAAAAATTTTTTGTAGATGGAGGGGGGGGGGTCTCACTATGTTGCCCAGGTTGGTCTTGAATTCCTGATCCCAAGTGATCCTCCCACTTTGGCCTCCCAAACTGCTGAGATTATAGGCATGAATCACCGTGCCCACCCAAAAATTACTTCTTTAAAGAAAAAAAAAAAAATCAAAACTTTTCTTGAATATTCTAAAACAAGTCTTGATCTATCCTAAATATTATTTGTTCGTTTTTAACATGAACTTCAAGCCTCTGACTAGACTGGGTACCTACGGCTTAAAAAGAGAAAGCGACAGGAAGGTAACAACGGGCTTACCTCCTGTGCGAGAGCGACTGATCCTTAATGAAGTCCATGACGTCCTTCAGCACAGGGTATTTCTCTTTCACTGTGGGCACCAGTCTGGCCTCCTCCATGGATCGAAAGGAGAGCAGCCGGAGTCGCCCTCGGGTGAAGGGAGGCCGGCGGGTGGGTGTGGAAGGTGACAAGGGCTCTTCAGCTGTGGCAGGGGACACGTCTGCAGCAGGAAGGCCACTGCTGGATGGCAGCTTTGGCTGGGTGCCCAGGCCAGGACTCTGGTCTCCTGTGGCAGGGGGTGCGGCTTCAGTGGGAGATACTGAGGCTTGGAAATGCTCTTCCACCACAGAGCTTGTCCTCTGACGCTTGTTGAGTGGCTGGAGATGACTGGTTTCATCAGCAGTCTCCAACTTTTCGCAGCTTTCTTTTGAACTTATGCCCGTGGGCAGAAATTTTAGTAATAGAAGACTCTTCTCAATGCACTCTTTTGCTAGATGCAAACAAGAATCATAATTGAAAAAAAAAAAAGTTAAAATTATGGGGGAGGGGGAGGGGAGAGGGATAGCATTAGAGGATATACCTAATGTAAATGATGAGTTAATGGGTGCAGCACACCAACATGGCACATGTATACATATGTAACAAACCGGCACGTTGTGCACATGTACCCTAGAATTTAAAGTTAAAAAAAAAAGTTTAAATTTATTGCCTACTTCTGTAGAGAAAATAAGTTAAATGTCACAATTTAGGGCAAGAGACAGCTTCATGAATAAAGTGATATAGGCCTAGTGTGGTGGCTCACGCCTGTAATCCCAGCACTTTGGGAGGCCAAGGCAGGAGGATCACTTGGGGTGATACCTCAGCTTGGGTAACATGGTGAAACCCAATCTCTATAAAAAAACAATAAATTAACCAGACATGGTGGCACACGCCTATAATCTTATCTACTTGGGAGGCTGAGGCTGAAGGATTGCTTGAGTCTGAGAAGTTGAAGCTGCAGTGAGCCGAGATCATGCCACTGCATTCCAGCTTGGGCGAAAGAGTGAGACACTGTCTCCAAAAAAAAAAACAAACAAAAAAACCAAAAAACGAAAAAGTGATACACATATTTACTGACAGAATAGAAGAACAGAATCAAATTTTATCTCATTATAGAAATCAAAATCTCGCCAGTACTATCAGCACACTTTTTAGAAAAAGTTTTATTGTAGATGTTTTCAAACATGTATATAGAGAAAATACCATAAGGACCCTTCCATGTACCTGTCACTCAGCTTCCGTCATTATTAACTCACGGCCAATCTTGTTTCACCCCCATCAACCCCTCACTCCCCGGATTACTTCCACACACATTCCAGCACCACACTATTTTATCTGTAAAAATTTTTAGCATATTTCTCTTAAAAATATATGAGTTTTAAAAAATAACAACCATAATATTTAAAAAATAATAGTAATTCTTTTATTTCACTGAATATTCAGTGTGAGCACACTTTAAAATCATAACAAGGCCAGGTGCAGTGGCTCATGCCTATAATCCCAGCACTTTGGGAGGCTGAGGTGGGAGGATCACTTGAGGCCAGGAATCTGACACCAGCCTGGGCAACACAGTGAGACCCCTTCTCTAAAAAAAAGTTTTTAATTGCTTAACACAGGCGATACAAAGAGGAAAAAAAAATTTGCCAGGTGTTGTGGCACCTGCTTGATGTCCCAGCTACCCGGTAGGCTAAGGCGGGAAGATTGCTTGAGCCCAGGAGTGGGAGGCTGCAGTGAGCTATATGACTGAACCACTGCACTCCAGCCTGGGAGACAGAACGAGACCCCATCTCAAAAAAGAAAAAAGATGTAGCTCAAAAAGCACCTGATGCCGCCTAAGAGAAGTGATTAGAAAGATGTTCCATTTGGAGCAGGCCAATAAAACATTACTCCTCTTTGGGATTTTCTCTATTTATGATACATCCTTGGATACTATATTTAGCATCTGTGTTACTTTCCCTAGGTCAACACAGCCTCAATTAAGATAATCTAGAAGGTGAGTAATTGGTTTTCCAGGCTCTAAAACGAAAACAGAAGGCTCAGGGACAACAGCTGGTGTTAGCACACTCACCCAGGCTCTCAGGGTTCACCTCAGTAGCTTCTGAACTATGTTTTTCTTCTGCTTCATTCCCCAGGCTCATCAGGGACTTCTGCTTCATCTCTAACTAGGGGAGAATTTGAGCCACATCATTATGCTGTCCAGGCAGGGAAGCAAGGACAGCCATGGCAAACTACTTCAAAAGCACACAGCACTGACACCACAGAGTACTTCACAGTTGTATCATTTAGAGGGGTTTGTAATACTCACAACCTTATTACTTAAAAATTTCTAGAACACTGGTGCTGCAGGGGGCTTTCTCTAAAGCCTATCTAGTACTGATAAAGAAGAAGCTGAGATCTAGAGAAATGAAGAGTCTTACTAGGGTCATAAACCCAGTCTGCTGCAGATTGAACCAAAATTTCAGAGGGGACATCTCTACGTGATGCTGAGACCTAAAACTGGCCATGGTTACCTAGTATCTAAAGCGATGCTGTTCCGCCAACTCTACGGAGTTCCACGAAGGGATGTAAAGAGGGGTCAACTAAATTCTGTTTCCTCTATTTTCAACTGTCCAGACTATAATTTCAAGGGTTCTAAATTGTTTTATATCTATTCATGTCACTAAACTTTAGCTTAACAAAAATCCTAAAGCTATATTCTTGAGAAGAGAACAATTCATCTTAATTCCATGATATCACGGTAGAAAACCTAAAATATAGCAAAATCACATGCAAAGAAAATCTTACCATCCATATTCGAATCCCATCTGCCAAGGAATAAACCTGGGCAAACTCTTCACTCAGGGCTATTTTGCCCCCACTGTTGACTGGGGAGAGAAGCAGAGATGGAGATTACATTCAGGTAACACAATTCACTACTGCAACATTAAGCACAAAAAATCTAAATCTGCTGAAGTACAGGAAAAGTCCTCCTGACAATCACACATTGAGGATGGTAAGAGAGACTCAGGGAAAAAAATATTCAATTAAGCCACAAATACCTGTGTGGGTTCCTGTGTTATTTCAAACTAACTTTTTTCAAACTAATAATTTCTAAAATGGAAATAATTTTAAAAGTGTGTAAAATATTAAAAGATATAAAAATACTAAAAGTAAAAATTTTAGAATATTAACAGTGAGTAAAAAAGTATTTATTGATATGGAAGAAAGTTCATGGTATATTAAGTAAAAAAGCAGGTTATGAAACAGTATAAATAAAATGATCTTATTTAAAGAGAGTTTATATATTTAAAACATGGAAGCCAAGTGCAGCAGCTCATGCTTATAATCCCAGCACTTTTTATTTTTATTATTCTTATTGTTTAAATTTTTTTAAGAGATAGGGTCTTACTCTATCACCCAGGCTGGAGTGCAGTGGCACCATCATAGCTCCCTGCAGCCTCAAACTCCAATCCCAGTGCTTTGGGAGACTGAAGGTAGATTGCTTGAGGCCAGGAGCTCGAGACCAACCTAGGCAACATAGCAAGACTCTGTCTCTACAAAAAATAAAAAATTGTCCAGGCACACCGGCATGCACCTGTAGTCCTAGCTACTAGGGAGGCTGAGGTAGGAAGATCACTTGAGACCAGGAATTCAAGGTTACAGTGAGCTACAACTGTGCCCCTGCACTCTAGCCTAGGCAACAGAGCAAGACCCTGTCTCTAAAAACAAACAAAAAAATAAAATGTGTATGGATACACATATATATATACAAATATACATACATATGAATATACCTACATAAAGTCCAGGTAAATAGAAAAACATTCATAAAGGTTCTAAGTGGTGAGACTGTAGCTGATAATTATTTTAAGCTTTTCTATACTTAGGTTGCTACATAAACAGGTTTTGTTTATAATTAGAAAAATAACAATTTTTTTTGAGACAGAGTTTTGCTCATTTCCCAGACTAGAGTGCAATGGCGCGATCTTGGCTCACTGCACCCTCTGCCTCCCGGGTTCAAGCAATTCAAGCAATTCTCCTGTCTCAGCCTCCCGAGTAGCTGGAATTACAGGCACCTGCCACCACACCTGGCAAATTTTTGTATTTTTAGTAGTGACAGGGTTTCATCATATTGGCCAGGCTGGTCTCAAACTCCTGACCTCTGGTGATCCACCTGCCTTGGCCTCCCAAAGTGCTGGGATTACAGGCGTAAAGCCACTGCACCCAGCCTAACAAAAAAAATTTTTAAAGAAAGATCTATGAGGCTTGCCCCTTCTCTTCAGCTAAAACCCAAAGGATAATATACTAGAACAGCATGAAGCTCTCTTTTGCATCTATGTTACAATGCAGTAAGTAATTCCTGAAGCCCTGGAATACGCCAGGGCTGTACCAGACACTGGGAATATTATGCTGAGAAAAACAAAGTTCCTGCCCTCAAGCAGCTTATATTCAAGTTGAAAAACTCCTCCCCACCCTTTCTAACCCCAAAGAGTGACTAATTTTTAGACAAAGATGAGCAAATTTGCTAGACAAAGACCATTCTCAAAGTAGTTCAGTCTTAACTCAGAAATAGTCCTTAGACATATAATATCTATATCAATATCTATATCACAAAGGCAGAGACAGAAAGAACTAAGACAAGCCTGGCCTCCTTCAAACCAATAATGGCAGGCATTCTAGAAACAACCTGCACACAGCAAGACATTCCGAGTTCCCACAGTTGTAGAGTTCCCACAGTTGACTGTGTGTTTTCTCTTCTGCAAACAGGTATGTGGTATCTGAACACAGCCTGAAGTTTCCCACAGCAGGAAGCCTTCCATTTCTCAGCTTTTAACCCACAGGCTTTTATCCCTCTACTGAAAATTCCTTCAAGTAAAAAGATTATCCAGCTTTCTTACTATAATTTGATTACAAAAATACATATTGACATTCCCCCCGCCAAAACCATACAGGTTACATCACCCCCTCGATTCCTCAGCAGAGAAAAACTCTTCCATATGACATTTGTTTCCATAAATCACTCATGTCTCAACACAGTTTTGTTTATTTGAGCAGCTTTTTAAAGGAGATATTAAGATTTGGGGATGTAATCAAGATGTTTTAACAATCAGAAAATAAATTCTGCAATGTGAGATCCAAAGAAATGAGCAATAAAGGTGGTAGGAATAAAAATATCAATAATAACAAAACGAGGCTGGGCGCGGTACTCACGTCTGTAATCCCAGCACTTTGGGAGGCTGAGGCAGGCAGATCACCTGAGGTCAGGAGTTCAAGACCAGCCTGGCCAACAGGGCGAAACCCCGTCTCTACTAAAAATACAAACATTAGCCGGGCGTGTTGATGGGTGCCTGTAATCCCAGCTACTCGGGGGGCTGAGGAAGGAGAATCGCTTGAACCCGGGAGGTGGAGGTTGTGGTGAGTCAAGATCGCGCCACTGCACTCCAGGCTGGGTGACAGAGTGAGACTCCGTCTCAAAAAGTAAAACAAAACAAAACAAAATGAGCAACAGTCAATTACCCACTCTAGTGGAAGGAAGCTCTGTTTTTGCTTCTCCCGCCTGCGCTGCGTGGAGAAGACATACCCTGCCAGGCGGTTAGGAAGCCCATGCCTTATCTCTAGGTAGGGCTTGAAACACTTTTCCCCTGAATTAGTATGAAGGTAGAGAGAGACTCTCCCTCCGTGTGGGTCCTGCTAGGCGGCAGGGAAGCAGGGTAAATACAGAGATGGCATCCCTAAGAGACATGAGGAAAAGAGATGGTGAGGAGAAGGTTATCAGCAAAGGAAGCCTAGTGGGGTGATGCTACGAAGGCGCTGCAAGCTAGCTAAAGGTAATAGTTAATACCTACAGCTTCCTCCTTGGTTATTACTACATTCAAGAACTTAAACATCTGTGGTTTTAATTGGAATTTCTTAGAATGTTAGAGCGAATCACCCTTAAACCAATTTTACAGATAAAGAAACTGAGGTGCAGAAAGGTCGTCTGATTAACCTGAAGCTGCACAACTTTTGAGTTTTTGCACTGGGACCAGGACCCAAGTTAAGGTTTCTTTCCATTAAATTTCTCAGCAGTTTTCCATGAGAATTCTGGATAAAGATAATTTACCTGCTAATTTTGCAACTCAAGGTTAGGTGCCACACATTATAATCTGCTAACCATAAAGTGGCCATGAATCTTTTAATAGGCAAAGTAGAACCAACAAGATGATGTTTACAGTTATAGAAATGTGTTTATATTTTAAAATATTTTAAATGTTCACTTAAGATAGGCTTTCTTAAAACTTAGCAATTAGCCTTCAGATCAAAAATATTCCCTGTAATAAAGTTACCATATTTTTGCAGCTTCTCATATAAATCTGGAGTGCGATACACCAGAGCAGCAAAGGTGGCGTTCACAGCTTGATCAATAGTGGAACCAGCAACTATATCTGTCTTTGGGGCCTGTTTTCTACATGCCTGTATGAATCCTTTGAAAAGTTCTGAATATGGCCCACAGAAGTTCTGAGCAGGCTCTGACTGGGCAAAATCAAGAAGAAAATGGCGGCAGGGGTCGTCAGGAATGTTCTTAACCTGGAAACAAAAAATAAACCCATCACATTTAACACATTCATTCAAAAAATAAAATTTATTGAGCAAACTATTAGGCCAAAGCAGAAGTATAAAACACAGTGAACACTCTCCGGAAGTTTAAATCTATTTTAGGAAGACCAGACAGAGATATGAGTTAAAAAAAGATAAACATAAATAAAACATTAAAAGCATTAGAACTAGCATTCCCGTAAAGCAAAAGATTATCAAGTGCCAAATGCCTAGAAGGGATACCCAGTGCTGAGAATTCAAAGGAGAGAGATCCTGGTAGGTTAAAGTAATTAAGAAAAGCCTCCTGGAGGATATGGGCTTTGGCCTGGACCCTGAAGGATTGGCAGATTTGGCTCTGAGGAACATAACCATTAGCAGAGGTTACGAGTCAGTGGGGAGACTGACCTGGCCTGAAGTCTCAGCTGGGGAGTGATGGGAACTAGAGTCAGATAGGTAAGGTGAAAGGAGACTGCAGAGAGCCTTGACTGTCACATTGAGGAGTTAGACTTCACCCTGTGGGCAATGGGGAGCCATTAATGGTGCTTGGCAGTGGAATGACAAGATAATGCAGTGATTATAAAAAAAACTTGGTAGGTACGAATGTCATAAGGCAGGTGCAAATGAGGGCCCGGATAAAGATGCAGACAGAGGAAAGGACAGAGATGAACATCATGAGGAAGAATCCACAGGACCTGCAAGCTGACTGGACAGGAATGGGGAGACAGGTGAGGACAGGGGATGCTAGGGAGCAGTGGCTTCAGGCCTGGGGAACACTGACCACCACAGAAGTGACCGGTCTTTGGTTTTACACTTCTGAGTTAAGGGGAGTCAGGACATTTAAATGGAAATGCCTCACAGGAAGATGGAAACAGGTACTTGGAGCGGGGAGAAAACCAGACCTGGAGACTGATATTAGGAATTAGGGCCACAATGTTTGACAGGAGAAGAAAGTGGAGAGGATGAAGTCTTGGTGGGCTGTGGGGAAGGGAAGAAAGCCTGAATAAAGCCTACCCTTTAGGGAAGGAGGAATATGAAAAGTCAATGAAGGAGGCAAGTGGGCAGTCAGATGTAAGAGAAGACAGCGGACTAGCATGGATCCAAAGAAGAGAGGGTCTGAAGGAGCCAAATTTAACAGAGGCAAGGAGAACAGAAGCTGAGGAAGAGCCACTGGATTTGGCAATTAACTACTGAATAACGTGGGGCAGGGCAGGGAGGGGAAGGAAGAAAAGTAGAATACAGAAATAGAGGGAAGGAGAGGTGAAAAATAAAGACAGGGCAAACTTTTTAGTTTTTAAAATCTTATACACCTAAATCATGTGCTGTAATTCTAAGGAGAACAAAAGGTATAGCACAAATCATTGCTCTAAAGCTTGACTCAGTAGGCACTAGAAGTACACTCAATTGTTTGCCTGATAACTCCATCAACAGAGATTTACTGAGCACCTCCTACATTTCACCCAAGTCACGCATTCAGTATTTCTGAACACCTATTGCGCACTGGCCCCTGTGGGACACGGTGGCGTTAACAAGTTAACAAGGTATAGTTTCTGGCCTCAAGGAGCTAACTGCTTAATACGGGTAGTAAGATAGAAACACAAGTGTTTATAACTTAAAGTAATAAATACTTGCAGGCAGTTTCCAGTCTAAATAGAAAGAAAACGGAAGAGTAAATACCTCCTTACTATTCCGGTGTGGGTGAGTGGGCCAGCTTGCTTCTAATTCCAACTCTGGACAAACCTGATGCCTGAAGACAGGTTTCCACAGTGGGGAGCTTAGGACTAATGCCATTTTTGCCTGAGGTACTACCATGTTACTTCCTAACTCTAGAAAGAGAAGAAGACATATGACAGTTCTATTTTTGCCTTAATATATTGAGAATCTTTGAAATGAGAAAGAAAAGGTTAAAAAAAACCATGGATACTATTAAAACTTAGAGAAAGTTTACCCACATACCAGAATGTAATTGTGATACTTTGTAAACACATACCACAGATTAAGCTAAACCACCAAGTCCTGAAATACTGCTGCTCTGTGGAACAACTTCAGTTACAAGGTACCTTGGAAATGACTAATCTGTTTATAGTAAGCTGAAAATAGGATATGAACCATTTCTGGCATATAACACGAGGCCATTCAGGAACATTTAATTATGGAAAAACATTCACAATTTGTAAACTTAATTCTGTAGCAAATAATAAATATCCAGCATAGATGTGTTTAGAATAGGCAAAGAGAAAAGAATAGGTGGAAATAAAAATGCTAATAGCTATTTCTTTCTTTCTTGGAGAAATATTAAAAAAATCAGTTACTTCTGAGTGTTAGGATTAAGGATGATTCTATTTTCCTTTGTTTTTTTCCACTATGTAATTTTTCTATATTTTACTTCTAAAACTGGAAAAACTCAAGAAATGATCAAGAAATAAAATACAGTAGAAAGTTTTATTCTGTAATTCTTGTTCCCTGGAAGAATTAAATAAACAATTATACTGAACACATCTTTTTCCTTTTGTTTTAAGAGACAAGAGTCTCTCTCTGTTACCCAGACTGGAGTGCAGCAGTATGATCACAGCTCACTGCATGCAGCCTCTAACTCCTGGGCTCAAGTGATCCTCCTGCCTCAGCCTCCCAAGTAGCTGAGACAAAAGGCATATGCCACCACACCTGGCTAATTTTTACATTTTTTTTGGTAAAGATAGGGATCTCACTATGCTGCCCAGGCTGGTTTCAAACTCCTGGGATCAAGAAATCCTCCCACCTTGGCCTCCTAAAGTGCTGGGATTACCAGCATGAGCCACCTTGCTCAGCCCTGAATGAATCACTTTAAAACAAAATCCATAGTCACATATCTACATATATTTACATAAATATTCACATATTTAAAGGATATGCAATCAACTTATTCTATACTCCTGCCTTTTGGTTGGACTATACCTACACCTACTTGCAAAAAAATGACAATGTTGCCAAAAAAAAAAGCTGTTATCCTCCATAGACAGAGAACCCATGGCAGCCTTCCTGCTATGTTCCAAAGTCTAAGGCAAAAAGCTTCGTGACAATGGTATTGAGTGGACACTTTATTCTTTCGGTTTAAAGGAAACTGAAAAGGCGTATTATTAACCCCCTGCCATTACGTGGAAACGACCTACAAGAGGGCAAGCGCGCATCTTGCACTTCACCGTGGTTGTAAGAAGGGAAAGCACAGGGATGTGCACTTACGGCGCACAGACTTGAGCGCCATGCACTGGGAAGCCAGGCGTCCCATCAGCCGGGAGACGAGGAGCTGTAAATCCAGCCCCCAAGACACGGCAACATCGGGCAGCCCACAGGCAGTGACAGTGAATTTGTAGCCCCATTCGTTGTGACTGCTGTCAGAGTGAAAGAGGAACTGCAACCGAGGACCGGCCTTGAAGGTCACTTTCTAGAGACAAACAGAAATCATGTGGTCAGACAGATTAGAGGAGGAGTGCTTCAGAAATCAGCATGCTCTTCATGACGAGAAACATCTCAGTTTAAAATTGATCTCTATTTCCACATGTCCAAAATGACTAACGGAGAAATGTACAAAGGGGTGACGGAAACAGACCATTCACAGCCACACCCCATGAAGAAGGAGAGTTGGCAGAATACTGCTGCTCAGCTTTCTACACCTGGGGTGACCATCTGTCCACTACCGACTCAGCCAGTGGTCACATTTCCATGCCTCTGCTCCTGCCAAGACCACTGACCATGGAGAGAAGGTCAACAGTCTGAGGCAGTACTAAACCTCCAGCCCAAGAGCTCAAGCAGCTCTAACTGTGAGGCAGACTCTTGGCTTCCATCACATGGTCTGGGCCATCCTCCTAGACCCACCAGCACTTCTTGCTAAGGATGAAGGCTCTTCATTTACTCTAGACAACGCTGTCTGCTGCAACTACTCAACTCTGCCACTGCAGTGCCAAAGCAGCTATAAATGATAAACAGGCATGGCTGTGTTCCAAAAAAATTTGTTTACAAAACAGGTGACAGACTATAGCTGGTCAAACTCTGATATAAATCCTTCCTTTCACAAACGTGTAACATAAATGCCTCCCTTCAAAGACCTTACCTCTACTGCCCCCTGAAGGCTGACAAAAGGAAAAGCATTGGTGCAGAAGTAGGTACCTCTTTCTGGGACTATCACTCACCTTGGGCCATTTATCAGTGCCAACTTTTGTGTCATAGCGTGTTTTCCGACCTCTAGCGTCGGTAAATTCCAGATAATCATACCTGTGAAGGCATAACCTCTATTAGCTTCCTTCTCTCATTGCTGACCTATTAGCGCTTGGGGGTGAAAGAATATAGAAGTCTTACCTTTTTTCAGTTTCACACCTGTCATCGAATTCCACTTCAAAATAGGTTGCCCCTGGGCTAACAAAGACGGATACCTCATGGCAATTATTTTCATAGTTGTGGGCAGATTCCTTCGTCCACGTATGTAACACCACAGGCTGTTCCTGTTGCCAGGTCTCAACATCCAGCTATGATAACAAATGAGCCAGGGGAAAGAAAGGTTCTATCACTAGACACCTAGCCACATGCAGCAGACTGTTTCTCTATCAGTGCTCCAGGCAGATGGCCTTGACAGCCCTGCACAAACCAGCAGGCAGGCTCGAAGACAAACCTGACATTCCCATCTTCACACAGATCAACACACGTCCACCACGCAGCCGAGGAGATGTGCTTTTATTACACACAAAAACTCCATGACCAGCTTGTACCTTTTCGCTATGACAGAACTACTTACAAATCATTACCAGTGTGAATTCCCAGTGGAAAAAGTACTGAATGAGGAGTTTAAAGACCTCACATTCCTACCTGGGACACTGGCAAATCTGGATCTACTCTCCCTTCCTCTCCTACCCTTTTCTTTTGAGCGGGGGGTTGGGGGGGGGCCTTTGGTTTTTTACCTGTTAAATATAAATGCCTTTTCTACTGCCACAGAGTTGTGCTCTGTGGCACACAAAAGACACACAAGAAGAAGCTCACACAAGACAGTGATTAAACGTTATGTATGTATAATTAAGTAAGGGAGAAATTTCTTCTAAAGACAAAATGTAATTTGCCTTTCAACATACATTTTCTCTTCTAGACTTCAATTTTGTCACTCACTTACATGGTTTTTATATAACTTCATCAACTATAAAATGATGAGATTCATCTCTACAGCTTTTTCTGCGTCTCCTTTCTTTTTTTTTTTTGAGACGGAGTCTCGCTCTGTGGCCCAGGCGGGAGTGCAGTGGCGCAATCTCGGCTCACTGCAAGCTCCGCCTCCCGGGTTCACGCCATTCTCCTGCCTCAGCCTCCCGAGTAGCTGGGACTACAGGCGCCCACCATCACGCCCGGCTAATTTTTTTTGTATTTTTAGTAGAGACGGGGTTTCACCGTGTTAGCCAGGATGGTCTCGATCTCCTGACCTCGTGATCCGCCCGCCTCGGCCTCCCAAAGTGCTGGGATTACAAGCGTGAGCCACTGCGCCCGGCCTCTGCGTCTCCTTTCTAATGCTGACCAGGCCACATCGACTTGGACTGACATTCACCCTTGTTGGCAAGCCCACTGATAAAATCAAGGGAGCCTTCTAGAGGCTGCTCAGCTGTGCCTATCTGCAGTCCGTGGTCCACTTCACTAAGTGTGTCCCATCACTCCTGAGAGAGAACACGGGGCGGCTCAAGTGCTGACTCGAGTTACCTTCCTCAGTCCTCCTTCGGGGCCACTACAGAGCTTCTTCAGGAGTTCTGTGAGGACGCTGAACTCTCTCAAGAGCACGCAGTGTGGGATGTCTAAAGTGCAGAAGTCCAGCAGGAAGATAACCTAATGGAAGATGGATGAAGCACTCAGCGTCCACCTTAGGCTGGGCCTGGGGATGCAGACCCCCAACCCCCTTCCGGTTCTTTACAAATAGCTGCTAGTTTTTCTTACCAGTTGACGAGCTGCCATTGAAAACACTGAGTTACATAATCTTTCTACTATGGTTTTTCCACTGTACTGTGAGAAAAGGGATTCCAAAATCGCTCTCATGCTTGCCAGAAACTGGCCCACATCTACCGAAACAAAGAAAATAATTAATATATTATATAGTAGAAATGTCACATGCTTGGTTATCACCACAGACAAGAATAAAGAGACTCCAGAAGCTGCAGAGGGGGTTCCACAGCGAAGACCACAAGGCCAGCAAGTGCCGTCCTAATGCATTCCTCCTGGAGGAAGAAGCAGTGCGAATTTCAGTACAAGACTCACTTTTAAAGGGATTTTTTTTTGTCTTTTGATGAAGTAGAGGAGCACTTGTAGAAGTGAAATTCCATGCCTGACTAACCCAGCTGTCAGCCTCTCCTTTTCCTTCTGTTTACAATGAGCCCGTGCATTAGGTGTACCAATCTAACAGGCCAAGCTCTAGGTGGCAGGACCCAATATAAGTGTTTTCGTCACAGCTGCTGGGACCAAGTTTGATGGAACTACATTTTCCACGTATAATTTGTCAGCACCCGTTGGGTTTCATATAATTTTCTGTGAGTTTACAGAACATGAATCTAATTATTCTCGGTAATCAGCAATGGTCACAATGCTCATACACCTTAGATTTCTAAAATTCAAGACTTTCATTTTTAGATGACTTGATTAAAACAGGGATAGACTCTCCTGAAGAGCGAGACATCACGTAAGAGTGCTATATGATTGCAAAAGCAATATTTAGGCTGTGAAATGATCTAATTCTACAATAAAAATACTTAGGCATACCACCACACTCAGAGAGTAAACTCTAGACAAAAAGACATGCTGTTGAATTCTATTTTAATTAGACCAAACCAGTCCAAGAATCTGAATCGTAATGAAGAAAGCCATATGCACACTCATTGCATGAGTTACTAAAGAAGAGAACACTCAGAGTCAAAACCCAAACGCCATCTGTTTTCATGGATTTTATATTGAAACTCACATTTTTCAATAAGGTCCACGGCAAGATCTTTGGCTCCAGAGTCCGTGCTCTTCAGCTGCAGGTAGCACCAGGATAGCAGGCTGCCTTGGACGGACCAGAACAGGGAGAAGAGCACAGAGCCCACCTCCCCTGGGGCCCCACTGAGCATTAACAGCTCGCACTACAAGGGAGGAGACAAACAGAAAGTGTTCGTGACAAGGCCATTCACAGAGCATAGCCAAGGGCATCCTCTAAAGCAGCAGCTGTCACCAGCAAAAACAAACTATAGCCACGGAAAAGTCATGAAACAGCTTTCAACCCAGCAGTCACCAAGAAAGATGGTATTACGAAAACTCCCCTTTCCCTCCAGCTTTTTGGAACCTTTACAAAGGTTTTTTATTCCACATGACATCTCCTTCTACCACCTCAGGAACCTTACCCCCCTGGGTATCTCTTCTTTCTCTTACATCTTAAAATGTCCTTTCTCTGGCTCCTTCCCTCAAGCCTTTAATCAAACCTCTCCCACCTTAAAAAAATCATTATTCATGCCTCCATGGCTCTCTAACCATCACCTTTGTTCTCAAAAGTTTCTTTGAAGGGTTATCTGACCTCCAGATACGGAAGATTGTACACTATATGATTCCATTACAGGTACAACCCAGGCAATACAGATGTGCTGGGTAGGAGTAAGTAGAAAGAAGAACAAGGAAATGGTGAACACAAGCTTCGGGATGATGGTTACGCCTGGCAAGGCAGGAAGAGAGTGAGCCATGAAAAGGCATGTGGATGGAGGGAAATGGACTCAAAGATACTGGGAATGTCTAGTCCTTAAAAGAGACACTTGCCACATTGTTGCAACTACCTGATGACATATTTGCTCCTCAAGACTGTGCTTTTTTAAAATCACTGTATCCCCTGTTCCTAGCACAGGGCCTAACACACAGCAGGCATTCAGTGGATATTTGTTGAATTTGATAGATTCCTGAGAAAAATTTCAGACCAGGTACATTTCTGATCACCTTTAATTTTTTTTCCTGATTGAACCCTAACTCTTTAGTATAACCATAAATGTCTTTTACTAAAAGATAATTCAGGGAAACACATTAATAGCTGCATCTCTAGCAAGGAGGTTTAATGATATCTGTAACTTCTTTTGTACCACAGGTAAGTGAAAGAGAAGAAAAGACACACAACTGATCTCCAAATGGTATATACAATTATGCGAAATTCTCTTGGGCAAAATGCTATCTCATTTCTCCACGTACATCTTAAAATAAATCTGGCCTATCTTATCTAGCAGAAAGAGGACAAGGCTCTGAGTCAAACAGCCCCGGTTTCAGTCCTGGCTCTAGCACCTACCCACTCCTCACGTGCGGGGCAGAATCGACTCCTATGAGAACCAGGTGAGAACGCTGAAGTTTTCTGCCCAATGGCACTGATGATGTAACAACAGAAGAAAGACTGGTGAGGGGGAGAACTCAGTTCAGGCTTCAGGGATCTGAGAAACAGGTAGAATGTAGATGAGCTCCAGAAGAAAGGGAAGGTATGGGAAATGCAGAAATAAGGATGGAGATTCGAATGAGCCATGGCTAACTGGGGCCGAGAACACATACTGATGAGACTGAAGTGAGTTTTTTAAGGAAGACTCAGAGATGGGCAGAAGAGTCTGGAAATAAGCCAGAAAGCAGAAAGTAAGAGAAAATTAATGTGACAGCAAAAAATAGAGCATAGTTTTTTAATTAAAAACAAAGTTGAGGCTTATAAAGTCAACGTTACCCTAGATCTAAATTAATACTAGATCTAAACAGTGGTCAGCCTAAGAGCAACCTTGGCAAATGATAACCTAGGCACCCTACAGGTGCTCTGAGGTCCCCATCAGTGAATTGGGGGAGACACCTGCTGATGGCCTATCATGCCAGGCAGCTGGGAATGAATGAAATCATGGCTCTAACAGCAACTCAAAACAGTAAGGCACCCGCAAAAATGTAAGAGATTTAAAGACACTAAGTTCAGTCAAAAGATACAAGATAAGTTATCAGCCACAAAAGAAAAGTTACCTTCAAGTCCACATCATTAGATACCTCAAAGATGTGGTTTGGACTAGTCTACCACAAAATCTCCTCCAGCTCTCTGGTTCCCATATTTAGCCCAAAGAGATAGTTCTTGGTTTCCTAGTACAGGGGTGCTATCACTTTAGAATCTCTCGGGGTGCTTAGAAAAATGCAGGTTCTTAAGCCCTATCCCTAGAGATCTTGAATCAGTAGCTTAGGGTGGGATCTAGAAATCTTTTTTCTGTCAAATATCCCAAGTGACTGATCCACTTGGAGCATAAACTACATTTTAAGAAAGAAAATCCCTTATATTTTTTAAAAAAGGCAAATTTAAAAAATCACTAACACAGAAAAAAGATAATATACTTTCAGATTTGATTAGTCCACGAAATTGCTAAGAAATCTGAATTTTTTTTTTGTTTTTTGTTTGTTTGTTTGTTTGTTTTGAGACAGAGTTTCGCTCGTTGCCCAGGCTGGAGTGCTATGGCGCGATCTTGGCTCACTACAACCTCCGCCTCCCAGGTTCAAGCGATTCTCCTGCCTCAGCCTCCCGAGTAGCTGGGATTACAGGCATGTGCCACCACGCCCAGCTAATTTTATATTTTTAGTAGAAAGGGAACTAATTTTTAATTAAAAATTAAATTAGCTCAGCTAATTTTGTATTTTTGTATTTCTCCATGTTAGTCAGGCTGGTCTTGAACTCCCGACCTCAGGTGATCCGCCCACCTTGGCCTCCCAAAGTGCTGGGATTACAGGCATGAGCCACTGTGACCGGTCCTGAATTTCTTTTTTAAAGTCCAAGTAGTTTTCCTGAAAATTCACACCACTAACACATATCTGTGTGTTGGGCTCACTGACAACCACTACAAGGGGACTTGATATAAATCCATTCCTCTTTTTCCACAGGAAGCATTATCGAGCACTTCTGTGTTTTTATCGTTTGCTGACTACCAAGAACCGTAACATGCCCTCACTCGTTTGCAAGGGCTGGCTGGGAAACCTTTGTGATCATTTGTAAGAGTCAAGTAACAAAGTACATTCATGCCAGGCAGAGTGGCTCACACCTATAATCCCAACACTTTGGGAGGCCAAAGTGGGAGGATTTCTTGATTCCAGGAGTTCAAGACCAGCCTGGGCAACATAAGAGAGACTCCATCTCTACAAATAATTTAAAAATTAGCTGGGCGTGGTGGCGTGTGCCTGTGTCCCAGCTACTTGGGAGACTGAGGTGGGAGGACTGCTTGGGCCTGGGATGGGGAAGCTGCAGTGAGCTGTGATTGTGCCACTGCACCCCAGCCCGGGTGACAGAGCAAGACCCTATCTCAAAACAACAACAACAACAGAAAAAACCACAACAAAGTACATTCATACTGCAAAGAGGCAAAGGGGGGCACAAGAGACTGCCACATCACGTGCCCCCACAAGCATGAGACAAAGAAAACAGGGAGGCAGCCACTGGATACCTCTCGAGCAGCAACAGAGACGAGAGTGTCCATGACCGCCAGGACTTCACTGATGTTCATCTTGGCCAGGTCGTTCTTCTCAGGTAAAAGAAGAAGGCCGCCTGGATCCTTGTCACTGAAAGGATACAAATTAGTCATGACACCTGGCTTCAGGAGAAAGATTTTTATACTATTTTAAAAGATTCCAAAACAGAGCGCAGAAAGGTTTCAGTGTCATTTCCATGGGATGGGAGGAGTTTGGGTCAGGAATACAGGCTGTGGACCCAGCTGGGGCTGTGCCGCTGTCTGTCCACATGTGCTTCCATTAGCACAGACTCACAAATCCTCCAGTCCTGGATGAGACCCTGAGGTAGAAGGCTGATGAATAAATCACCTTGGCCACCAATATGAAATACACCTCATCTCACGACTGCTAGCTTCAAAGTCCTGGCTAAACGTTCCTTGTGTCTTCACATGTCTTCACAGGACGGCCCCAGGCCCTTTCAGCATCCTTGCTACTTGATTCTGAGCACATTTTAAACAGACAGCCCTCTAAGTCTGGCATCCATACCAGGTATAGTCTGACTTGCAGGCAGTCGCTAAGGATATTAGTTCCCTTCCTCCTTCAAGAGTCAATACTTCTAGTAATGAAGCCTGTAGGCCCATTTAGCTTCTCTGGTAGTTGAAACAGGCAAAAATCTCGAAGACCTCCCCTCCCAGCACACTTCCTTCCACAAACTATCATTCTGGGCTTCTGTAGCTGGTTTTAACGTGACACGAATACAAGACCCTACATTCCTTTGGCTTCAGTTTTTGTTGTTAAACATTACTTGGAAACTGAAGTGTTCAAAAAGACCCTCAACGGGCTCAATCTGAAATTGTCTTAAAATGGATGGGAACTGGATTGGGCTGTCAACAAGATTATTATTTTACCACTATTTGGGTCACCCACAGAAACTCGGCTTTCTAACTGAGTGGCAGGAAGTACTACTTCGAAGGCACATGAAAGGAAGGGCAAGCTCAAGAAAACAACTTTGCAAAGATTTGAGTTATCCGACAATTAAAAAGAACGATCAGCTTACCTAAAATACGTGCACAGTGAACGGAAAGTGAGCTGCAGGGACTGCTTGTGCTCCTGCTCGGTGACATTCTTCTAGAAAACCAGAAATTGTATATTCAGAAAATCTAGTCCATGACATTCCAGAGACCTAGAGCGGCAATGAAACATCACCACCCCACTGTTCTCAAGTATGAGGAATGCCAGGCCAGCAGACTACCTCACAGCACCCCACTAAAACCCGCTCAAGTACTAAGATGGAGCAGAACCAACCATCTAAATACAAGGTGGTAGGTGCACTTGGTTCACTGCCAAAGTCAACAGAAGGTTCAAGTTTCCTGCTTAGGGAAATGACCTCATAAAGAGATATACTTTTTTTTTGAGACGGAATTTCGCTCTTGTTGCCTGGGCTGGAGTGCAATGGCGCGATCTCAGCTCACTACAACTTCTGCCTTCCGCGTTCAAGCAATTCTCCTGCCTCAGCCTCCCAAGCATCTAGGATTACAGGAGCCCACTACCACGCCTGGCTAATTTTTGTATTTTTAGTAGAGACGGGGTTTCACCATGTTGGCCAGGCTGCTCTTGAACTCCTGACCTCAGGTGATCCACCCACCTCTGCCTCCCAAAGTGCTGGGATTACAGGCGTGAGCCACCGCACCCAGCTGATAATATACTTTTTGCCATTGGACAAGCCATCTCAAGAGCAATCACAGCTCTTAAGGGTATGGTATCCGAAGATACTGAGGAGGCACCTGATGGAGAGAGAATCGCTCAGCACTATACAGAAGGTTGGCAGTGCTATTTAACTTCTCAGCATGAGAAGACACCAATGTCATTCAAAACGTCATGCGTCCTGTTTCTACTTTCTGTGTAGGACACATGCTTGGAAATTAATCATTTGCTCAGCTACCTGGTAAACACTTGCACCAAACAAGTAGGATAGAGACCCACCCACAGTCCAGTGGCTCAGGTCAGCTGATGCTGTCAAAGGTTATGTAACTCACAATGTGAGAAGTGATTCCTCAGGCTGATATGCAAATTTTATATATAGCTGGAATTACACAAACAAATATCCTTCCTCTTCTCTGAAACCTTCCTCAATCACTTAGCCTCAACATGATTCTCCTCTTGCATATGGAATAAGTTTTTCCTTGCGGCAGGTGTCCCCAATTAGACTGCTGCTGCTGCCCTTTGTCATCAGGGACCACATTTTATGCTTTTGTTCCTTTTTTTTTTTTTTTTTTGAGACGGAATCTCGCTCTGTTGCCCAGGGTGAAGTGCAGTGGCGTGATCTCCGCTCACCACAACCTCTGCCTCTCGGGTTCAAGCAATTCTCCTGCTTCGACCTCCCGAGTAGCTGGGACTACAGGCATGTGCCACCACGCCCGGCTTCCCTCCCTTATTTCTATAGGCCTTTGTGCATCCCATAGACCACTTTTCTTATGTCTGCTCATTGGCTGTTGCATTAGAAACGCCTTTTTAAAATGCTGTATCTAGTTTCCTTTGTCAAATTCTTTTAAATAATTCTATTAGTTGCTTGACTACACAGACAATAAAAAGTAATCTATAATCATATCAAAACAAATAAATATTTGTTTTATTCTATTATTTTTAACACTTCTTTCCCTTGTCCTACAGCACTAGCTAGGCCCTCCAATGCAACATCAAAGAGAAGCAACGACAGTAAGCATCCTTGTCTTATTCCGCATTTTGAGAGGAATGCTTCTAGTGATCCATCAAATACATTGCTTATTGTGGGTTTTCGATACATGCCCTCTACCAGATTGAAGGAGTTTCTATTTTGAGTTTGCTAATGAAAACATATTGTTTCATTGTTTTAATCATCAGAATTTAATCTTATTAAAATATTTTCTGCATTTAGTGATTTTTTTTTTTCCTCTCTGATTCCATTTACATATTTTCTACTGCTGAACCATCACTGGATTTCCAGCATAAATCCAACTTGGCCATAATTTTGTTTATATGTTGTTGCACTGGTTAATTAATATTTCATTAGGGTTCTTCTAACTATGTTCATAAGTAAGAGTGGCCTATAATTTTGCTGTCTTGTACACATTTCTCTAATTTGTCCCCTTGGTATACTTACACTTCCCTGTGTTTTACCATCATTGTAACACAGGAACCTGTGAAGTTCCTCTACCTAGGTGTTTTTGATATGGCCTAGAGAGAAAAAGTTTTGTTTTGTTTTACATTTTTTCATGTATCATACTCATTTTCATACAGAAATACTTCCTTCAGAAATAAAAACCTGGATCTTTGTATAGAATATTCCATTTGGTAACACAGTGCTTATAGATACTAAAAGCATTTTTCACCCCAGCTACTAATGTCTGAGGAACACGAAGAAGTGGTCTAGGAGAGTGACAAGAACCATTTAAGGAATAAAACTTGGTGATACTGGCCTGGCAAGTGGCTCACGCCTGTAATCCCAGCACTTTGGGAGGCTGAGGTGGGCCAATCACTTGAGCCTTGGGCTTCGAGACCAGCCTGGGCAATATGGCAAAACTCATCTCTACAAAAAATACAAAAATTAGCCAGGCGTGGTGGCATGCACCAGTAGTCCCAGCTACTTGGGAGGCTGAGGTGGGAGGATTGCTTGAGCCTGGGAGATAGAGAATGCAGTGAGTTGTGATTGCACCACTGCACTCCAGCCTGGGCAACAGAACAAGAACCTATCTAAAAACAAACAAACAAAAAAACTTGGTGGTATTAGTTTTACAGATATATACTGAAATATTTATGAATCAAATGTCAGGAAGTTACCTTGAAATAATAATGGTCAGTGGGGAAAGGAGGAAAGGGGGGTGAGGTACACTGTAGGTAAAACAAGATTAGCGTGAATTTATGACTGTTGAAGCTAGGTGACAGGTACATTTGGGGGACAGGGGCATTCACTATACTATTTAGTTAGCTTTGGTATTTGTTTTGAATTTGCCTATAATACAAAGGTAAAATGTGGAAAAGAAAGGATGGTTGTAGGCAAGTCACAAAGATGAAGGAGACTACACTGTCACTTTGTGAGACATCCGATCATGAAACACAGATTGGGAATACGTGTCATCCCACTCTGAGTGGAGTGCCATGTCCTTAGATATCTGTCCCACACAAAGCTCTGCATATAATATTAATACACATCTGGGACGTTGCAACAGACGATATATTCAGAGGTAACAAAGCCTAGCAAATTTCATCCTCACAGACTTCAGACATTGAATCCAGACTTTTAGTAATAATTACCATCATGGTGAAGAGATGGTTCCGTCGGGTCTGTCGATTAGGAAAGAAGATGGCAGCCCCATTGAGAAGGGTATTCCTGACTTCTTGTTTTAGTATCTCCATGGGCACAGAGTCTCCATCCACCTTGTCCACCACTGATAAAATGAACAATGGCATCAGCTTTCATATATTCCATCTATTCGCTTATACATCTGCTATAACTAGCCTATAAATTCACTACTCTCCATTTTGTACTTAATACCAGAGTGAAGAAGTATTTCTGTACAGGCCAGGCAGTATAAAAAAATATTTTTTATTTGCTTTCATTTAACTAAAACAAAGACCGTATGTATCAGTTTTTATGTCATTACTTCCCTGTCCTTTTGAGACACAACTTGGCAAAGCCTTAAATAAAACTTCAGAAGCCCACGTGTTTCACTCCCCCTCAATCTATCAGCCTCATCTGAGTGACTTAGTTGAAGTTAAGGCTCAACAGTATGATAGTAATGACTCTCAACATAACACAGCTATAGATCTGAAACCAGGAGGAAGAGAAGTCAGCTGAGGAAGGAATAAATCCTGAACTCAAACTAGTAGCTCAAAAGAGCATCAGGGGAAACACTCGTTTCCCACAGCGGCAATCCCTTTCTGGGGGATTCCCACAGCGGCAATCCCTTTCTGGGGGATTCCCACAGCGGCAATCCCTTTCTGGGGGATTCCCACAGCGGCAATCCCTTTCTGGCTCGCATCATCGTAGGACAGCCCTCTTCTCTATAGCAAGAGGCCCTTCACGCTACCTACACAGGGTTGTATTAAAGAGAAAACCCAAATCCCTACCATCACACAAGTGTGTGTACAGCTCCTTGGCAGCCTCTACTCCTTTAGGGCTTTGGATTGGAGCCTTTTCCTCCTCAGAAGCAGCCAGTACATCTCCCTGCAGCACAGAGAAGCAGCTCTGGAGTAGCTGCAGAAGCAGGGTTTGGGCAGAGACGCATTCTTCCCTCGGGCTACAGAAAGACAAAAAACATCAGAGAGCAAAAGGGCAAGTTGCATTTACTCTCCAAAGCCATATAGCTGTCTACAAAGGACTTTCCTCTAGGCATCAGGCTCGATGAAAATAATGCCAACTGATGCAAACTGAGAGGAAGAAGGGTGGACCAGAAAGAACACTGTACTAAATGTCTGGAAACAGATCCCATCTGACTCTGCCCACTGTGGGGAAGGAAGTTCATTTCTTTTTGTTGTTGTTGTTGAGACCGAGTCTCACTCTGTCTCCCAGGCTGGAGTGCAGTGGTGTGATCTCAGCTCACTGCATCTCAGCCTCCCAGGTTCAAGCAATTCTTCCGCCTCAGCCTCCCAAGTAGCTGAGATTACAGGTGCCCACCACCACACCCAGCTAATTTTTGTATTTTTAGTAGAGACGGGGTTTCACCATATTGGCCAGGCTGGTCTCGAACTCCTGACCTTGTGATCCACCCGCCTCAGCCTCCCAAAGTGCTGGGATTACAGGCGTGAGCCACCGCGCCCAGGCAGGAAGTTCATTTCTGATCCTACTTTTTCATCTGTAAAATGAGGACAGTACTGTAATCCTTGACCTGCTTACTACTGCCTAAATATTTTATAGAAATCTGAGGTGTTATTTTCAATAATAACCATATATTTTAAATCGAACCATAAACACTGGTAGGAAGTAAAAAAAAAATTAGGAAAAAAATCCACTTAGAATAGTAAAACTCATTGTTTTCAGTTTATGTGCTTATCACCTTATAACAAATTCTGACCTACTTTTGCTTTAATTTACTGTAAAAATTCCAGAAGATCTGCAAATCAAGACCCGCGAAGTCCAGAAAAGATTTATATTTTAAGCCACTTTCCTTCTGCTGCACCTAAAAAATTATAAAGATCAGAATAAATAAAACTGAAAAATGCATTTAGAGAAATACTGTAATGCCTCATTTACTTCTAATTGTAAAGGGATGAGGTGGCTCTACATGAGTGAGACTTTCATATTACTGATGCTTACTCTTAACTACAAAAAGGTTTGCCAACAACTATTTTTGGTTTGAAACTTTCTAAAATATATGTGTGTGTTATATGTATGTATGTATGTAAGTGTATATAGATATATACACACAACACACACACACACACACACACACACACACACACACACACACATCCATGAACGCTCCTGACTTCCTAACCCAGCACATAAGCCAGTCTTTCCTGGATGATCACTGTCCAGGACTGTACTACAATATACTGACGCCTTCCCCGTGCATGGACTGAAAGGTATCAATCCTTCCGTAAGCATGCCTGTTATTTCCAGGCTTCTCCTTCTTATTTGCTCTTTTCTACTGTGATAGGAGGTCTGAATAACGAAGACCAAACAAACCTTATATGAACTGAGTCACCAGCCTCTGAATGTGCCCTGAAGCAGAATGGGGATCAAGAGTGGACACTGCTATACACTACACATGCGAGGGCTCCACCCACTGAACTCCCGAGGCTATGGTGATGGCTGTAAGAATCTTCCTTTGAGTGAGTTGTCACTGTGTTATATTACTGACTGTAAGAGTCAGTATCAAAAAAGTTAGAAATCAAAAAATCATTTTTGATTCGAAATCCTGCCATTATTTTCGTATTTTCAGTAAATAATGAAAATTCACCTAGACCTCAGTTATAATTCTTCTAGGACTTAAAGAAGATGCAAATCCCATGAACTCTGTTCTGTTTGTTTCCCCATGGCAGCCACGGCCAGGGCTCTTGAAGATGTGTCTGTAGGTCTACTCCGGGAGAAGCCACAATGATGGCCACAGGCCACTCACTGACTCACAGGCCACTTCCCTGACTCATGCCATGAATGCCCAACAGCTCACTTTCCTCAGCTTTTCATGTCCCTGCAGCAGTACAATGCCCATCCTATTGGCTTCCGCAGGGGCAGGTTTTATCAGTTGGTGTTCATTTCTCTGAATACTGTCATTCACTTTTCCTAAAGGAATGCCGTCTAACAACTGAGGAAGCCCTACCAGGTCATGGGCGAGCTGCTGGATAAACTGAAGGGTCCTGAGGAGCAACGTGGCCCCACAGACACTCTCCTCTGTGTCCTTTCTGCAGTGTGCACAGGTGACGCTCTGTTCTGCTTCTGCTCTTGCAGGCCGGAGGTACCCACTGATGGTCAAGCCTTGCACTCCCAAGCGCTCTGCTGACTCCTGACGGGTGCAGAGGAACTTCACCATCAAATACTGGACAGGACAAGAGAGATTTCAATAGAAGAACTCAGAATCCCTGAATATTGATTAAAGAGGGAAAAAGGCCTTTCCGGGAAGGTCTTCCTATGATTTTCGTAATTTATTAGGAAACATTATGCTCAGCACTAGGGACACAAAATATAAGTCCAGCATTTACAGTACAGAGAAAAAAAAGACAATACAAATGTTGAATAAAGTCAGGTTTGGGTAGATTACAGTAAGGAAAATTGCATCATTACTCCCTCTTGGAGGCAAAAACCAGAATAGAGGATGAAGAAAAGTACATTTGCTCTGTGGCAGTCATTTTGAAACAGAAATCAGATATAAGACGAAAACAGTCAATGCCCTCCACCTCAAAGCCCCCAAGTGATATAGGCAACCCCTAAGCTAGAAACCCAGGAAAACAGTCCTGTCTACTCAAATCTAGGGCCATTTTCCAAACCCAACTTTCATGCAAACTACCTGCTTCTTATGGTGAGCGCTCTTTGTTAAGGGCCTTTCAGAATACACTACTCAACTGCGTAAATATTTACCGAGCACCTACTATTACGTGCCCTTAAGAGAGTTCCTAATTACTTATTTAAGCCTGAGATTTACATCCAAGGTTTAGCAAAAAATTAAGCAGCCAAATAATGATTGGTCCTTTCTATGGAAAGACACCTCTCTTGAGTTGATGCCTGTGTTCTCACTATTCTCTCAGCCTGAGGTGCCCTCCTCCACACACTGTAGCATGGCTAAGGATGCTGTGTTCTCACTATTCTCTCAGCCTGAGGCGCCCTCCTCCACACACTGTAGCCTGGCTAAGGATGCTGTGTTCTCACTATTCTCTCAGCCTGAGGCGCCCTCCTCCACACACTGTAGCCTGGCTAAGGATGCTGTGTTCTCAACTATTCTCTCAGCCTGAGACGCCCTCCTCCACACACTGCAGCCTGGCTAAGGATGCTGTGTTCTCAACTATTCTCTCAGCCTGAGACGCCCTCCTCCACACACTGCAGCCTGGCTAAGGATGCTGTGTTCTCAACTATTCTCTCAGCCTGAGACGCCCTCCTCCACACACTGCAGCCTGGCTAAGGATGCTGTGTTCTCAACTATTCTCTCAGCCTGAGACGCCCTCCTCCACACACTGCAGCCTGGCTAAGGATGCTGTGTTCTCAACTATTCTCTCAGCCTGAGACGCCCTCCTCCACACACTGCAGCCTGGCTAAGGATGCTGTGTTCTCAACTATTCTGTCAGCCTGAGACGCCCTCCTCCACACACTGTAGCCTGGCTAAGGATGCTGTGTTCTCAACTATTCTCTCAGCCTGAGACGCCCTCCTCCACACACTGCAGCCTGGCTAAGGATGCTGTGTTCTCACTATTCTCTCAGCCTGAGGCGCCCTCCTCCACACACTGTAGCCTGGCTAAGGATGCTGTGTTCTCACTATTCTCTCAGCCTGAGGTGCCCTCCTCCACACACTGTAGCCTGGCTAAGGATGCTGTGTTCTCAACTATTCTCTCAGCCTGAGACGCCCTCCTCCACACACTGTAGCCTGGCTAAGGATGACAACTTAATCTTCAACATTTGACATCACACCACCCTTCCTGAGAAGCTTTCGAGTTACATATTTTTCCCCTGGTTGCCAACAGCTCTCTGTCTCTCCTTTTATCACAGCTCGTATCACACTGTCTTACACATCTGTCTCTCCCACAGAGTATGAACTCCCTGAAGGTAGATTCGCCTCTGGGGTTGTAGCATTGGCACAGGGCTGATACACAATCACTACTCAAAAAACACAGAATAAAAGGAGGGGAGTGGGCAAACGACGCACTAATGCTTACTTTGGCAACTCTGCACTGTTGCAGCTTCACATCTGCTTCATCCCATTCTTCTTCCAGTTCAAACCAGCCAATAGGATCATCCTCTCCAAGGTCATCAGATGAGCAACCAATCCTGTAAAGACAAGAGTATTCACAAAACATTTTATTTTGAAACTTCTCAAGGGTCTAACAAATAAGGTATCATCTAAGTGACATGTAACTTGTATCTGTAGCCTGTCAGTGAACAATCGAGAGCTGACTATGGTACATGGTACCCTGTGAGCACATGAGACAGTTGGTAGTATTGCCTTTCCATTGCTCAGTCTCCTTCTCTATGAACTGGGAAATATAATCTGGGAACTAAGGAGAAAGTTTGCTTCTCTAATTGGCTCATCTGAAGAATGAGACAGAAAGTCGGGCATTGTGGATGACTCAGGAGTAAGGTCCAATGCAACAGCTGGCATGTGCTTCTGGAAAGTGCCAGAAAAGAGGCAGGCTTGGTTTTCTTTCCCTAGGTCTGGCTAACATGTTTATGACCAACCTGAGGTTTGGGCCACTTGCAATAGCTGATGGGTAAACATCTGAGGGCTTTCAGATCCTGGAGGTCCAAAAAAACAAAAACCCCAGCCTTCGTAGGCCTCAGTATTCTTGTCTGTTTCTTAAGAAGTTCTTTCAGAAAAACATTCCAGCCTTGAGGCTGAAGAGATGTCTTCTCTTCTTTTTAAGAGAATGTATGCCACTTCTTTTTAAAAGCTGAACACTTAAATGCTACTCCCTTTTCAGGAATTAAGTAACTAAGATGTGCTGGGCACGATGGCTCACACCTATAAGCACTTTAGGAGGTTGAGGTGGATGGATCACTTGAGGTCAGGAGTTTGAGACCAGCCTGGTAAACATGGCGAACCCTGTCTCTACTAAACATACAAAAAATTAGCCAGGCGTGGTGGTGCACACCTGTAATCTCAGCTACTCAGGAGGCTGAGGCAGGGGAATCACTTGAACCCAAGAGGTGGAGGTTGCAGTGAACTGAGATCACGCCATTGCACTCCAGCCTGGGTGACAGAGCAAGGCTCCATCTCAAAAAAATATAAAAATAAGGCCGGGCACGGTGGCTCACACCTGTAATCCCAGCACTTTGGGAGGCTGAGGCAGGCAGAGCACCTGAGGTCAGGAATTCGAGACCAGCCTGACCAACATTAAGAAACTCTGTCTCTACTAAAAATACAAAATTAGCCAGGCGTGGTGGTGCATGCCTGTAATCCCAGCTACTCGGGAGGCTCAGGCAGGGGAATTGCTTGAACCCAGGAGGCGGAGGTTGCGGTGAGCCAAGATCGTGCCACTGCACTCCAGCCTGGGCAACAAGAGCGAAACTCCACCTCAAAAAAAAAAAAAATAATAAAAATAATATAAATAAATAAGAAGGAGAAAAAGAGCAGTTTTTTCAAGTAACATTCCTAAAACTTTACACTATTCAGTCTGTGATATATAGCCACCAAGCTGGCGACACATTAGTATTTTATATAGGTAAAACTACCAAAAAGAGGGAATTATGGCAAGAAGACAATCCCGAGTAGGTTCTGTAACAGAGAGAAAACATGTCCCTTTTTTTTTTTTTTTTTGAGATGGAGTCTTGCTCTGTCGCCCAGGCTGCAATGCAGTGGCACAATCTTGGCTCACTGCAACCTCCACCTCCCAGGTTCAAAAGATTCACCTGCCTCAGCTTCCCAAGCAGCTGGGATTACAGGTGCCTGCCACCACACCTGGCTAATTTTTTTGTATTTTTAGTATAGATGGGGTTTCACCATCTTGGCCAGGCTGGTTTCTGACCTCAAGTCCTGACCTCAAGTGATCCACCCGCCTCGGCCTTCCAAAGTGCGCTAGGATTACAGGTGTGAGCCACTGTGCCCGGCAAAATGTCCCTTCTTAACATAAGTCTTTCTTGGCATAAACCTTTCATGACACAGTTAACCCTAATGGGAAACGGTATTCTCTTAAGCCAAAACCATGTCAATGAGTTTCATCAATATCATAAGCTTAAAGATTTTTTAATCTACTCTTTGGGAGTTGTCAAGGAAATCTTCGAGATACAGAAAGCTGGCAGGGTATCAGAGAACAGAGAGAAGCAATCTTGTTCCCTACACTGCACTACATAGTAGGCAAGATGGAAGACAGATGAATCCTAGTCCTCTGACGTAGGCACAGCACCAACTGCTGACCCTGGAGCATGCTGACTGACGAACGCCTGACCAGGAGGACATGACCAAAAAAAAAAAAAAGGCAAAAAGAAAATGCATGCACATTAATATTTTGATTTCCAAACTGGAGAGGGACTGGTGAATATGTAGGCCAACAAAATCACGATTTAAGAGTCATTCAGGCTGGAATCAGGAGCTAAAATCATTAAGGGAGTGGTGAATAGGCCTCTATTTAGGTTAAAAAAAAATCATCCTGTATAAGATGTAAAAGACCTTGTTTAACAGCAGGTTTAGGGGAAATGACCCATTTTAATTTGTCCCAAGAGTAGGACATAGCTGCCTAAAACCCAGTGTCATCTCTAGTTATTACTTTAAAAGAAAAGCAGTGTTTAAAAAGGCATACACGTGTAACGGAAGGGAGATTTTAGGAGTGAAAGACATTTGTTCAAATTCATTAAAGGGCTGAAACGAAGACCACTGAAGAGACATTACAAATGTGGATTTCAACTGAACAAATTCTGATTACTGAAGTGCCTGATACGTGGTGAGTTTTCCATCAACGGTATTGTAGAGAGGCTGACCGAACCTTTGCCAGGAATGCTGCTAAAGGAATTGCAGCAAGAAGAGCGAATTATTCGAATTATTCTAGATCCTTACGATTTCAAGTATGGTCCACAGACAGGTAGCATCAGAATCTCCCGAGAGCCTGTAAGAAATCAGTCTCAGACCCCACCCAGAGCTCCTGAATCAGAATGTGCATTTTCACAAATTCCCTGGCTGATGTGTATGCACACTAAAGCTCAAGGAGTACTGCAGTGGATGGTACTGAAAGGCTTCTATTAACACCAGCAATCCACTACCCATGAAATAATGCAGGCAAGTTCAGGGTTTCAGCTCCTTGAGTATTTTTTTTTCTTGTCTTAGCTTCTTCAATTTTAACTCACTAGTAGCAATAGGGGAGGTAACCTTATCCAAGGGGGCACCAGTGGCTACATCCGACAGATCCACTTTTAGACTTTACCTTCTGACTTCTGGGTAACATCTGACACCATCGCCCATTCCCTCAAACATTATTTTCCCTTGGCTTCATGGGACACAGCTTTCCTTCATGAGGCCCTGGCTTTCCTGCTGCTTGTCTGGCTGAGTTTTCCTTGTTGCCCCTTAAAGCCTGGTGTGTCTCATGTTGACCTAAGTTCTCTTCTCTTCCCAGTTCACACACTCTTGCAGAATGATCTCTTCCACTTCTACATTTTATTTATTTATTTTTGAGGCAGGATCTCACTCTGTCACCCAGGCAGGAGTGCAGTGGCGTGAAGACAGTTCACTGCAGCCTCAACCTCCGGGGCTCAAGGGATCCTCCCGCCTCAGTCTTCCAAGTAGCTGGGACTACAGGCGCGTGATACCATGGCCAGCTAATTTTTATGTTTTTCTTTTTTTTTTAGAGATGGGGGTCTCACTATGTTGCTCAGGCTGGTCTCAATCCCCTGGGCTCAAAATCCACCTATCTTGGCCTACCAAAATGCTGGGATTACATGCATGAGCCACCACACTTGGCCTATTTCTACATTTTAAATTATCGTTTAAATGCCTCTCATATCTGTACCTTCAGCACAAACTTCTCTTCCTGGCTCCTGACCTGTTTATCCATTGGCTACCGATTATCCATTGGCTACCGAACACCTCAAAGGTTTCTCAGAACTTCAAATTCAACAGAACAAAATCTGAGCTCATCATCTTCCCCACAAACCTGTTTTTCCCCAGAGTAAGAAAGGCACTACCAATTTCCCCACCTGCTCAAGCCAAAAGCCAGGATTCACTGCCGATGAGGCTTTTTTCCCTCTCCTGCTCCACATTCAGTCAATCACCAGGTCCTGTCGCTTCTCCCTCCTAGTGGTCTCTTGGTCCACATCTCTGCACTGCTGCTGCTGCTCTAGTAGGAGTCACCCACTGGCTTCCTAGGCAATAAGTGACAACCTCCTCCCAGCCCAGCTGCCTCCAGACTTGCTCTCCTCCAGTCCATACTACACACAACATGATCCTGACCAGTGCTTCTACAACATGCATTTGAGCCCCCTGCTTTTCTGGAAATGCCTCAACACATTCCCCTGCCATTTCCCCTCACATGATGCTTTAAGGATACAGAAACAGAGACAAAGCCCTGAATGCCCTGCCCTTTCCCAGCTCTCCAGCTGCATCTCTCATCACCCTCCCTCCGAGTATCCCTCAGCAATGCGGGACCTGCCCGTTCCTTCAATGTGCCATGCTTCACCTCTGGGCCCATGAAGCTGCCCTCTCTGCTTAGGACATTCTCCTTCCAGTGGCCGATCAACTCCAACTCATCCTTCATAAACAGCATAACAACACTTGCTCCAGAAAGATGTCTCTGATCAGGAGGGCCGCTCTGCCCTGTGTCCCCACAGCGCCCTTTCTCCCCTACAGCACATTCATAACACTGTTGATACTGCAAGTTTTCTTACCTGTCTTCTGAGCTAAACAGTAAGCTATATAAAGCAAGAACTGTGCCAATTTCCTCATTACGGTATCTTCAGCACCTAGCATCAGGCCTGGCACACAGTAGGTACTTAATAAGTATTTGTGTTAAAAGCAGGAATGGGAGAAGGGGGGTTGGGGCAATGGCTAAAGACTGCAGGCTGTCCACAATTCAGGCATAGATAGATCATTACCCAGCCATTGTGAAGATGTGTGCCCCTGGCCACAAAAGGGACTGAGTAACATGCTATGAACAAATTAACATACACATCTTCAGATATGCTACTAGAAAGCAATGAAGGCTTATGGCCACTGAGATGGATTAGTGGCGCCTTTTCTATAAAGACAAGCAAGCACAGTTCACCAATGAGCATGAATACATTCTTATTAACTACAAAGATTTTTGTTCTGTAGATCTTTGTTCTACAAAGATTTTTTACCTTCTTACCTGCTTTTTACAAATTGCCTGAGCTCCTGAAGCTTCCATTTGTCATATTTTTCAAACCTTTTGAAGTGTTCTTCCGCACAAAATTTATCTGAAGATGAGTTATAGGCAAACACCAACCCACACTGGGCACCAATGCCACCACGTCGAACCTGGAAACAGAGATTAGGATGAAGTCTATCAAAGGGGCAAAAGTTCTGTGGCCGTTTTGTTTCCAGCATGGTTAAATTCAAACAGGTTAAAACAAAACGAGACCAATGAAAAATATTTCAAACATATTAAGCCCTCAAAAAATAAGAAAGCTGTTTCCCAAGAAATGTTCCTTAACTTTCTCAATCCTTATATTCTCACCATTTCAAAGACTTTACAGTCTATCCATCTTTGTGTCCCTGCCCTCTGCTACAGGCCTGACACAGAGTAAATCATCATTAAATGTTCAATGAATAACCAATGACATGGTCAGCCATAGGTCTGACTTTAAAAAAAAAAACCAAAACACCAATGACGTGGACTTCTGAAATGTAATAAAAGGTAATATTCAATAATAACCTAATTGTACATGGAAAAGTAACTACAACAGTGTAATGGATTGTTTATAACACAAAGACTAAATGCCTGAGGGGATGAATAGCTCATCCTCATCCTCTGTATGATTATTTCACATTGCATGCCTGTATCAAAACACCTCATGTACCCCACAAATATATATACCTACTATGTACCCATAAAAATTGAAAACAAAAGTAGTAACATTGCTTAAAGAAGGTAGCACGAAAATTACCATAATTCTTATCTGTGTAACTTGGAAGGCAGATTCAGTTCCGGTAGAAAAAATAGTGCTGGCTCTGGTTTTTCCAGTTTCCGTAAGAAAACCTGAAAAAAGGGAAAACTCAAGTTAGGGAACTAACCCATTTTTATAGCCCTAAGAACTAAGATCAACAAAAACAAACCATATCCTTTGAGTCATGGGGGGTAACTGGTCTGATATCTTCACGAAAATTAGAGAAAAATGTCCTCTTTGGACAGAGGCAACCCCGATGATAAAGCCCCAGGTAAGCAGAGAACTGACCAGGTTCAACTTTCCCAGGGCACAATCCCCTCCACCTCACAGGCAGCCCTGCTCTGAGGTAACAATAAGAAAATAAATGTTTAGGCCGGGCACAGTGGCTCACGTCTGTAATCCCAGCACTTTGGGAGGCCGAGGCGGGTGGATCACGAGATCAGGAGACGGAGACCATCCTGGCTAACACGGAGAAACCCCGTCTCTACTAAAAATACAAAAAATTATCCAGGTGTGGTGGCGGGCGCCTGTAGTCCCACCTACTCGGGAGGCTGAGACAGGAGAATGGCGTGAACCCGGGAGGCGGAGCTTGGAGATTGTGCCACTGCACTCCAGCCTGGGCAACAGAGTGAAACTCCGTCTCAAAAAAAAAAAAGAAAAAGAAAAAGAAAAAGAAAAGAAATGTTTATAAAACATTTAAGCCAAAGCGACAAAAGACTGGACAATCAATCATCTTCCTGAGCCACACCTACAACCATGGCTGATGGCTGCCTGGGCTGATAAAGCCTACTGGCTTAGTGGCTGAGAAAGGGATTAGTTAGCTTCTACAACACTTTGTCAGGAAAGGTTATGAAAGGCTTTGAAATGGGAAAAAAAAAAAAAAAAAAAAAAAAGAATCACTGGGTGTCCTAGCCAACATACCCTTTCGGTCGTCTCTGCCTTTTATGGTCTCTAAACTATTTTACAATTCTGTAAGTTGTAGAACACTGGTAGTGATGCACATGATTCTTGTCCACAGAACTAAACACTGTGTTCTGTGGAAATGTTGCTGATTATTCCTTATGGATACTGACCAACATTCTATCTATTTGTAAATTAATTTTAGCATTCTTGTTAGTCTACATGTATTTTATGAATTCTCCTTAGAACTGTTTGTAACATCTTACTGGTTCCCTCATTAATTAATGAGCTAAATAAAAAGTCTGGGCCAGGCACAGTAGCTCATGCCTGTAATCCCAGCACTTTGGGAGGCTGAGGCCAGTGGATCACTTGAGCCTCAAAACCAGCCTGGGCAGCACAGTGAGACCCCATTTCTACCAAAAAAAAAAAAAAAAAAAGCAAAAATCAAGGTGGGTGTGGTGGCTCACACCTATAATCCCAGCACTTTGGGAGGCTGAGGCAGGCAGTTCACTTAAGGTCAGGAGTTCGAGACGAGCCTGGCCAACATGGTGAAAACCCCATCTTTACTAAAAACACAAAATTCGCCGGGCGTGGTGGCACACACCTGTAATCCCAGCTACTCAGGAGGATGAGACAGGAGAATCGCTTGAACCCGGGAGGCGGAGGATGCAGTAAGCTGAGATCTCACCATTGCACTCCAGCCGGCCTGGGTGACAGAGTGAGACTCCAACTCAAAAAAAAAAAAAAAAAAAAATCAGCTGGGCACGGTGGTGCACACCTGCAATCCTAGCTACTTGGGAGGCCAGGGTGGGAGGATCGCTTGAGCCTGGGAGGTGGAGGTTGCAGTGAGCTATCATCACAACACTTCACTCCAGTCTGGGCAGTAGAGTGAGACCCTGTCTCAAATGAATGAATGAATGAATAAATAAATTAAAGTAAATAAATTAAAAGTATGAATGTGTTCACTTATATTTGTATGACAGTCACTATTTTCCTTTTTTGATTGTTGGTAATTATCCTTTAACAACTCATGAAAAAGTCTTCTGCTAGACCCAAGGTTGCCTTTCTCTTTCAAACGTCTCTAAATGATATAACTCAGCAATAAATAAGCTTTTTTTTCTGGGACTCTGAATTTTCTTAACAATTCTGCCTATCAAAATGACAAGACTAAAACCAATTTCATGCTTCCTGTTTCATTACATGGAGTTCAAGCCAACAAAAATTTATAAAGACAATGTGCAAAATGAGTCACCAAAACTAAGAAAATTAAATCCAAAGGAAACTTCTCTAATTCACACAGACGCTCTATGATCTAGTTCTATGAAAGAGCAATTCTATAGGCAATTTTAAGAATCCATACTACCAACAATTCACACAACTCCACTAACAGTAATACTAAGAACTATCCCAATTATTGAACTCTTACCTTTTCCCAGAGCCCTGGATGTCTCTATGTAAAAGAAATCTATGTAAAGGCTAAACTATTGTCTAAAAGTTAAGTGATAAATCAGCAATTTTAGTTAGTCTCAATGTAGTAGCAGAAGCAATAATTTAAGTCAACAGAATCGGATAGACTCTTTTAAAATAACACTGCCACCAAATATGCAATGACATTTTTTCAGAAAGGCAAAACAAAAACAAAACCTTAAAAAAAAAAATAAAACTTCTGTGCTTCCTTTTCTTGGTAAGAAATCAGCTCACGTGGTTTTTTTCATTTTTCTCTTTTGTTTTTTAGACACAGGGTCTCGCTCTGTTGCCCAGGCTGGAGTGCAGTGGTACAATCATAACTCACTGCGACCTTACACTCCTGGGCTCAAACAATCCTCCTGCCTCAGCCTAAGTAGGCCCACAGGCAAACACCACCATGCCCAGCTAATTTTTTATTTCATTTTTTGTAGTGACTGGATCTCACTATGTTACCCAGGATGGTCTCAAACTGTTGGCCTCAGGAAATCCTCCCACCTCTGCCTCCCAAAGTGTCGGGGTTACAGGCATGAGCCACTGTGTCCAGCCTAGCTCACAGGTTTGACTGTGATTTTTTTTTTTTTTTTTTTGAGACAGAGTTTTGCTCTTGTCACCCAGGTGGGAGTGCAATGGCGCAATCTCAGCTCACTGCAACCTCCGCCTCCCGGGTTCAAGCAATTCTCCTGCCTCAGCCTCCCAAGTAGCTGGGACTACAAGTGCCTGCCACCATGCCTGGCTAATTTTTGTACTGTTAGTAGAGATGGGGTTTCACCATGTTGGCCAGGCTGGTCTCGAACTCCTGACCTCAGGTGATCTGCCTGCTTCGGCCTCCCAAATTGCTGGGATTACAGGTGTGAGCCACTGCACCCAGCTGAACTGTGATATTTTAAATCTATAAGTTTTGACACCCTGCCCTCCACTTGCCAATTTATTCTTTTTAGATAACAGGGAAAAAAAAAATAACCAATCAGATTTAAAGGACTTAATAAATCTACCACTTCTGCTCCTATCAGGAGCACCCAGTATTCCTTTAAAATACCAGACCAAGTGACAGTGGTGACTGCCAGGAACGTTAGCCCCCTGAAGTATCAGCGTTTGAGTTCTCTGGGCATTCTGTGGGCCCTGCAGTGGCACTTGTCCAAAAGTGGTACTTCCCCACTGTTGGAGAATCAGACGTGTACCCATGAGAAGAGCTTTTACTCCGATAAGGGGAAGAAAAAATCACCCCCAAACCCAACAGCTCTGGCCATGAGTACTTTCCTCTTGTCTTGTCCCTTAAGGGTTACTTTTTGCAGTGCAGCAAGAGAGACCGACATCAACCCTGAGTTACAAGCAATAGATAGTGATGGCTGGAGGGAGTGAGCAGGAGGAACCCAGTGCTCCCCACACCCATTCACATCCCACCCTTGTGTTTCTCAGGCACATGGCAAAAATAACAAATCCACAAACTACAGCTAGATTTTTAAAATCCACTCAATCTAAGGAGGGGAAAAAGCAGGAAGGAGAACTGGGTAGGTAAAAGACACAGGGAAAATAACAAAATATTCAAATCAGACCAGGCACAAGAGCTGGCAAAATCTATTACCAGGAGAAATGCCCGTGAACAATGTTAAAAATCCACATCCAGCCGGGCACGGTGGCTCACGAGGTCAGGAGATCGAGACCATCCTGGCTAACGTGGTGAAACCCCGTCTCTACTAAAAATACAAGAAATTAGCCGGGCGTGGTGGCGGGCGCCTGTAGTCTCAGATACTCGGAAGGCTGAGGCAGAAGAATGGCTTGAACCCGGGAGGAGGAGGTTGCAGTGAGCCAAGATCATACCACTGCACTCCAGCCTGGGCGATAGAGTGAGACTTCGTCTCAAAAAAATATAAAAATAAAGAAATAAAAAATCCACTTCCTCACATGCTCCAGGAACAAAAATTCCAAATCTTCAGCAAGTGAAGGAAAAATGCAGAGGGCCTTTGGCAGGGTGGTCTTGGCTTTCTTGGGTGAGGGGAAGGGAAAGGGACAAGGAGCTAACACCACCCCCTCCCAGCCCCACCCACTTTGGATGGCAGGAGCCTCACAGCCAGCCATGGCCTTCAGTGTGGCTGGAGATGGATGTGGTAAAGAAAAACGTTTCTGCACAGGCTGAGCTGCTCAGGGAAAACCACAGGGAAACAATCTGCTTTAAGCATCTACTGCTGAAGAGGAGCACTGAGGAGAGGAGGTGCAGCTGGGAAAAGCATGTTCTCCTAGGGTCTGGACTCCATGAGTGCTGAGAACGAATACAGGAAACGGGACAGAGAAGAGGCAACCACTGAGAACATACGAGGACTCATTGCTGAGAGGAAAGCCGAGGAGAACCAGACGCAAAGCAGCAAGGCTAGTCCCTTTCAATGTCTGATCACTGCTGGAACATTCCACTTCCTCTAGTGAATCAGCAAGATTCAAATCAGTCCAGTGAGGAAAAAAGGGACACAGAGGACAATAACAAGGCGGCCAACAAGACGAATGAGAGACTCACAAACACCTTATCACGAGATAAGGAAAGAGCCTCCAGCAAAGTTGAAAAGCACATCAGCAATTATTATGTTGACACTAGGAAAAGAGTGAGGCTTCCTCTAGACACGCAAATACTACATCAGCTATATCTGGAAATACCCTTCTTTGTTTTGTTTTGTTTTTTTGAAACAGAGTCTCGCTCTGTCACCCAGGCTGGAAGGCAGTGGCGGGATCTCAGTTCACTGCAACCTCAACCTCCCGGGTTCAAGTGATTCTCATGCCTCAGCCTCCCAAGTAGCTGGAATTACAGGTGCCCTGCCACCACAACAGCTAATTTTTGTAGTTTTTTTATTAGGGATGGGGTTTCACCATGTTGGCCAGGCTTGTCTTGAACTCCTGGCCTCAAGTGATCCTCCCACCTCGGCCTCCCAAAGCGCTGGGATTACAGGTGTGAGCCACTGCACCCGGCCTGGAAATACCCTTCTTAAACTATGTTTTCAGTCAGTAGTAAAGTGCTACTGATCTGCTGAGTTTCCTACCACCTGAAGATAACACAATAGAAAGACAATTGGAACTGAAAAAACGATTAAAAAAAATAGTAACTTTTTATATTCCAAGAGAAAGAATCCTTGCTTTTCAAAACTTCAGGCTCTCAAATACTTCTGAGTTGTTATAGTCATTGACACCTAGGCAGATTACAACTACACCACACAAATTGCTCAGCAACCACTGCCAACTGAGAAACAACCTAAAATTGAAGACTGCACGCCTCAAACATTTCAAAGTCTGGAGTGTGCTTTCACACAGCTGACTCCTGTCTACCGAGCACACTAGAAACAGACAGACCCACCACTCACCATCCCTTGTCCACGGTTCAACAAGGAGGTTTTCGGGTCCAGACTTATCTTCTTTTCCTTTGACATCACATGCCTGAAGAGTCAACTGGAGAGGTTTACCTGACCAAAGAAAAGGAAGACCAAGCTGTAAGCTAAAATATGAAGAACTGGAAACTAGCATGCCTATCTGTGGAAATAGAGTCCTGTGGCTACCCAGACTGCTAACTAAAAATCTCCCTGTTTAAAAGCTGAAATAGAGCAGTAATATCAGACAAAAGTTGACACCATCCCTTTGTACTTTCCTGAAAGAGACAAAGTACAGCTATGGCCCTGAGTGATTCCAAGGACAGCTTTCTAGAACAATCATTGTTCTGAAAAAAGGACATTATAAGACATAGGTTGATAACATAGATTGAACACATTTGGGGGGGTGATTCCTAAGATACTGTTTTGGAGCCAATAATTAACTTTATTACAATTGCATTTAAATATAAAATATTTTAGGTCTCGTTTCTTTAAATCATCTCTGCAGGCAAAATTTCTGTTTCAAGAATTAGAAAAATCAACTTTTTCAGAACACTTGGCTTTGGCAAAAAAAAATATATATTTATATATACATATAAATCAACTTTTGCTATGATGATCTGAAAATGTTTTCCTTTTGTTTTAATAATAGAATGTACACCTGTTCACCTATGATATGACCTAGAACTAGAACATTACCCCATTCCTTCCTATCCACTGCTCCCTGCCTGAACAACCATTAATCTAAATTCTATTCAGCTTCCAGACACTACCTGCTATCCCTTCTATCCAGCCATGGCTGCTCTGGGCTGTTGACCAGTGCAACCCCCAACCACCCAAGAAAATAACCTTTCAAAATTTAGGGAGGAAACTAGATTTACAGGACACCAATTGTCTAACTTAAAAATTTAAACAGGCAAAAGAAAAAAAAAATTAAACAGGCTGGGCATCATGGCTCATGCCTGTAAATTCCAGCACTTTGGGAGGCTGAGGTGGGAGTACTGCTTGAGTCCAGGAGTTTGAGACCAGCCTGGTCAACATGGGGAGAGCTCATTTCTAAAAAAAAAAAAATTTTTAACTAGCCAGGTGTGGTGACCCATGCCTATAGTCCCAGCTACTCAGGAGGCTGAGGCAAGAGGATCACCTGAACCTGGGAGGTGGACGCTGCAGTGGGCTCAGATTATGCCAGTGCACTCCAACCTGGATGACAGAGCAGGACTCTGTCTCAAAAAATAAATAAATAAAAATAAAAATAAACATAAAAAGAAGCCATTAAGTCAGTCACACTAAGACGAAGGTAGAAACCTCACGGCAGAAGCCAGGTGTGGTGGCTCACGCCTGCAGTCCCAGGATTTTAAGAGGCCAAGGTGGGAGGACTGCTTCAGCCTAGGAGTTCAAGACCAGCTTGGGCAACATAGTGAGACCCAATCTCTACAAAAAATTTTTAAAAATTAACCAGGTATGCTGGCATGCACCTGTGGTCCCAGGTACTCGGGAGAGTGACACAGGAGGATCACTTGAGCCTGGGAGGTCAAGGCTGCAGTGAGCCGTGATCATGCCACTGCACTCCAATCTGTGCAACACAGCAAGACACTCTCTCTCAAAATAAATAAAAGGGTAGAAATGTCACTGGAATACTGCCAACAGGATGAGACCCAACACCACATATTGTGGAGTCCAGGAAGGCTGCACTCACAAGTAGAAGTGCTGCACTGCAGTCTTTTGGGAGTGACTTTATGGGCTCCCATGTTGAGAAGGATTATAAGGCCCCATCCTGGTTTGGTAGAAAAGTGCTCATATGAATTACTGCTAGGCCCAAGGGGGGAAAGCAGTGGCAGACAGGTGTCCAAATCCTTCAGAGCAGCTATCACGGGAATGCAGAGGAATGCATTCTAAGACAAAGATCCCTTTGCACCGTATCTTGGCTAGTTTCCTCCCTCCAACAGGTAAGAACTACTCCAACCCTCTTGGCCTACACAATGAGACACTTCAGTACTTCACCAAAGATGGCTGTGTTCAAATGGCCACCAGACCTGAGTAATTTTGCAAGCAGATCATGGGAGTATAGCCTTGTGGACAATCAAGTGTCCTCTTCTGGTGATACTGCCATCACATAAATGAACCTAAATCCCCCTTCTCCCTGCCAATCCTAGTAAGGTCTGATACTCAGAGGATACGTTCATCCAGGAATCATGGTGTAACTATAACAACCCAAAAAGATGAGAAGATACCAGGAGGTCATATGGCGAAGAATGGTTTTACGATTTGTCCACTGTTGACATTTCTATCACCCCCATGTTTTACCATATTTACCATATTTGAGGAGCAGGTTCTGTCTGACTGACGCCATGGACAAGATGAGGGATGAGGCATCATACTGCGTGTCCAGATGGTCAGTGATGGTGCATAGAGAGCTCATGACTTTGGCAACACTTCCTCTTGCGAGAGCAAAAGCCAGAAGAGTCAGTTCTACCTCTGGGGTAGAACAGCAGCTATAAGCAAAGAGCAAAAACTTTTCACTTCTTAAAAACATGAAAAAATCCAGGTAGCTCAAACCCCATGTAAGTGATCAACACAAGTAACATTAACCTGCCATATGCTTTCTACAGGTTTATCCGAAATATTTTTCAAAATCCTTAAGGTAACCTAAGGAAAAATTAAATCAATCCAGAGAGCCAGGGAATGAAAGCCTCACTTCTATAATCTTTAATCTTTAAATATTAAATAATACCAATACGCTACTGTAATAAGCCTCTGCTATTAAGAAGCCTTGGGTAATGAGCTGGCTTGACCAGAGAGTTGAGGGTTTATGCTTGAAGCACTAAAAATGTATCACACTGAATTACACTTCTTTGCTTTTAATTTAAACACATTATACTGAAACGTTAAAAACTGTCTAGATGGCTCAGGGACTGGTTTGACCTCTAATGCAATAATGTCCTCAGGGCTCACTGAGGCAGAAGTGAGTGTCCCTACACAAAGTGGTCACTGCTATCAAGCTATCCAGGTGCCCTTTCCCAGTTCTGTAGGTAATCAGGCTCCCTGGACCTGCATGTGAAGGTCAGCAGGTTCTGAGTGAGGGAAGGCTATGCCAGTTGGACTTTGAGACATCTGTTCTATCAGAATCACAGGACTACTCCCCTTGGGCCCTGCAACACCCCTCACCAACCTTCCCAATTCTTCAGGTCAGGTGATACTGCTAAATAGTGGACTTTAGATGAGTGAACTATTATGTCACTTTCTCTTTAGCTGCTAAAAAGCAACCATTTTTAGTGGTGATCGTTAAAAGATTAATATATATTTTTTAAAGACTTAACAAGCATACGTGCACTCCATTCCTCACAGAGTTTACCCTCATCAGCCTTGATTTTACCTAGTTATCCTTATGAGGAAACTGTCCACTTCTTCCAGCACATTAGGGGAGAGGAAAGTTGAGAAATCTGTAGATCCTGGTGAGAGAGAGAGTGGAGGCATGTGCCGCAGCGCCTTCCTAGAAGAGGAAAATGTAAAATGTAATCAGAACAAAACCAGACCGAATTTAGACAAAAAATAAACTGTTAGAAGCTTGTTTTGACTAATCCCTTATAAACAGACAGTGTTCCCACAGAGAAGCTGGCACACAATATAAACTGGCCCTTCTTTTTTTTTGAGACGGAGTCTCGCTCTATCACCCAGGCTAGAGTGCAGTGGTGCGATCTCGGCTCACTGCAACCTCCACCTCCCAGGTTCAAGCGATTCTCCTGCCTCAGCTTCCTGAGTAGCTAGGATTACAGGAGCCCGCCACCACGCTTGACTAATTTGTATTTTTAGTAGAGACAGGGTTTCACCATCTTGGCCAGGCTGGGCTTGAACTCCTGACCTCGTGATCCACCTACCTCGTCCTCCCACAGTGCTATGATTACAGGTGTAAGCCACCGTGCCCAGCCTAAACTATCCCTTTTTGCCCAGGAGTCACAGTGCTAAGTAGTTTAATAGGGTTTTGTGTTTGTTTGTTTCTTTCTTTCTTTTAGGAGTTCTGCCTCCCTCTGTTGAATAAAACTTATTCAACTCTCTAGAATCCAGCTTTCATGTTAAGTAGTACTAGAAAAACTGACCCAAGAGGCAGAGCAGCTTGAGGCTCAGTAGAAAATTTATTTTATAATTTGTTCAGCAGCAACAGGGAAAAAAAAAAAACAAAAGAAAATTTTATAGCTAGGATCTGAAGATCTATGGTATCTAAAGATGTGCCATGAATGTTATGTTCTCTTAAACAGATTAGCACATCACCGTCTCCATTCCTGCCATGTTTCTTGGCCTTTCCACCTTAATGTCTGTTTTAGTGTTTCCCTTTTCTTGTCTTTGCTTACATTTATCTTTCTGAATCCCCCAATAGCTTTACCTACTCTAGATTAGCAGTCATCAAAAATTTACGCAACAAATGACTTCTGAGCCCTACTGTGTGCCAGCAACTGTGCTAGGTGACTGAATGTACCATGAAAAATTTCAAGGTATTCTGTGAATGTATCAAAAGTAACTCAAAATTCTACAACTGATAGTCGCTTAATGATAATGGTAATGAAAATCCCTGAAACAATTTCATTTCTACATTTCAAAATAGAGACAATAAAGCAAAGCAAACACTGTCAGCTCGCACTCTGCCCTAGTTCTGTTCCTGTCTACACAATGAGCCATTTTGGGGTTGCACAAACATGGCAGCTACACACAGATGCAGCTGATCAGTGAGGTTTAATGCACACAAGTAGCATGCGATCATTTACTGAATTTATTTCCACTGATACAGGCAACACTTCTGTCCCAAAATATTCTTTTCCTTACCTATTTTTCCTCATTGATATTTTTTCAATAAATCTTTAATTTTAAAATAGATTTAGATCACTAATCTTAAAAAGGCAGGAGTGCATGAAAATATCATTGCAGATGAACTAGTAAAACTGAGCAGGGACACAGACTTTAAAATCTGTCCATTCTTCAACCACTTGCCACATCTTCAAAAAAAATATAGAAACCTCTTCCTTTTCCTGAAAATCCAGTCCACAAGATGGGACTGTGCAGTGCAGACATTTGTATGTGTCTGGGGAGTAAGGGGGAGTCGTCATGGTGGCCTACAGTGAGGTTTTAGAGCCTGAGCAGGGTGAGAAAGGTGTCTTCACAAAGGTACGGCCTGATATGGAATGCAGGCACCAAGTGAGGCAAGAAGGGTGGCCTGGCACAGGGTATAGGAACTCGAGGAAGATAAGAAGGGCATCTGTGCAAGGATGGCCACAGCAGCAGCTCTGCAAAAGATGCTGGAGCAGGAATGGGATAGGGAGGGTGTCCATGCAAGGGCAGGGGCAATGGGACACTGGTTACATAGAGGCGAACTGAGTAAGTACAAAAAATGTATTAAGGATCATGGGAAGCAAGTTTCTTAGTATCAGAGAAGGCAGTCACAAATAAAGAAATAGGCTGGGCATGGTGGCTCATGCCTGTAATCTCTGCACTTTGGGAGACCGAGGTGGGTGGATCTCCACCTAAAGAGCCCCTGATTCAGAAAAATGGCTGATTCCAGGACTAATGCAGGGAACATTCAAGATAAGCCTGGAATATCTTGTGTCAGAACATATGGAAGCATTCCGAGAATAATGAGACATGTCAAAAGGACACACAAGCCAGACTGCAGGGGTTGCCACCAGCCAACTCCAGGATAACATAAGCATCAAAACTGTGGCTGACTATAATCTAGTGCATAAAAGAGGAATCCACTAACATAAAGTTTTGATGAGGAATACGATATTTACATAGTCTCAAAGTACCGCCTTCAACGTATTTATTAATTATGAAGTGAAAAATATTTATTTTACAATGGAAAAGTCTGGCAAAAACCACTTTAATCAAGTGATCAAAGTTAACAAGACTGCATTAGAATGAGGACTATCTGAAGTTGTGTGCAACCCAATGGGATGCAATGAGAACAAAGCATCACTTCTATGATATTCCTGCTAGAGACAGATAACAAAACCTCAATCTGATCACAATAAAACATCAAATAAACCAGAATTGAAGGACACTCTTCAAAATAACTGACCTGTAATTTTCAAAAGTATCAGGGTCAAGGAAATACTGAGGAAAGTCAAGGAAATACTGAGGAATTGTTTCAGAATGAAGGAAACTAAAGAGAAAGGACAAAGAAATGCAGAGTGTTTCGCTGGATCCTTTTGCTGTAAGGGGCGTGACTGGGGCAACGTGCAAAACTTGCAGGGAGTCTGAGGATGAGATGGTGGCAACATAGCAATGTACACCAATGTGGATTTCCTGATTTCAATGGTTGTCAGTAAATGTTCTTGTTTACAGGAAATACACACTAAAGCAGCAGGAACGATGGGGCACAGGCAGGCAAATTACTCTCTAATGACTGAGGAAGAAATAAAAATTATTTGTTAAATGTAAACTTGCAGTGCTTCTCTAAGTATGAAATAATTTAGTGAGAATACATGCTACAACAGGAAGAAAGAACAAGGTATGGCCAACTATTAACCTTCAGAGCAGCAGTGTTATTTGCTAACAGTTTTACTCAATAGTGCTAACAAATCTCAAAAGATGTCTAGAGAACAAAATATTAGCAATCTCTTTTTGGCTGATACTCTCACCGCCTACACTATAGGTACCTATTATCAGTTACTGAATCTGCACAATACTAATATTTCAGTGCTGCTATAGCTGGTTGTATTTGTCTTATATGTTACTATTTGGTCTTTTTGCCCTAATGATTTTTTTTCAAAAGTACTCTACATTTCAAAAGAAATTAATTTAGTACCCTGAAAAGATTTCACTCATTCGTGGAAAGAGCCCTCAACTGATCCATTACTGCAGCCTGGTCTTGTGACTTCAGGAAAGGTCACAACATCTGCGTCTATAAAATGGGGTGATTTTCACAGGTACACTTCAGTGTCAGTAGGTAAAATAATAGACTGCATCTGAAAGGGCTTTATCCAACATCAAATCCTATAGAAACATGAGCAATTACTTCCCAATGGACAAGGAACAGGCACAGCATAAGTGACCTCCTCACAAGACTGGTCCACTTAGTGAGCTGATGAAGAACACTGTAGGAACTGTGTGACGAGGAGCAGGAAGGTGGAATGGGCACTTTTTCAGTCTGTAAAGTCAGAACGTCAATCAAAGAGAGATACACTGTGGAGCTGAGTGGCACGAACAGGAAACACTAGGGCACCTGAGGCCGAGCTGACTGAGCCACAACGATCAATGATGGAAGGCTGCTCAGTGATACGCCCTAAAGGATGATGGGAGAATGAGGGCATGTTGAGGGGGCTGGAACATAGAGAGAATGACTTACTGAGTATTGTGCAGCACTGTCTGGACAAAGGCGGGATTTGTCTCCATAGAAGCCGTCACCAGAGATGTCAGCAGAGACCAATACCATATTGCAGAAGCATCTGAGACTGAGACCCCAGACTTCTTAACTCTCTGAAAGCCAACAGCCCTGAGACCATGAATTCTAGTGTCGCAGCCATCGCTAAGACAACGCTTTATGTTAATCTGGACATCTGTCGAGCACAAACAAAAAATTCAGTATTGGATTAACTTCTTTAGGCAAATGCTGGGCTCCCAACTAAAAGCAAAATAGTAATAGACATTTTGAAAAGAAAATTCTGAAGGTACACTTTGATGACAGAAATAAATAGCATGTGCAATGGAACTAGTATATAATAAATTTGTCAAAAAGCTTTGACAAATCTAAGAAATCATAAGAATAATATGTAAAATTAAGGGTGATTTAAGTCTTTACAACAAAACTTCTTAGGAACTTAGGAGTCTTGAAAAAACTACACAAAGAACATTTTAAAACAAGCCTGTCTGAATACATGGTAAGAACATTTCTAGAATTCTTCCTAGGATTCTGAAATTTGGATTAAGTTATAGAACAGTGGCTGGCTTACAAGCAATTGTGAGAATTTATTTTTAATAATCAAATCCAAACAGATGACACAGACATGACTCACTTTTAAGAGATGTCACAATTTCTTATTTGGGTCAGAGGAGAGAAGGTAAGAATTTAAAAAGGACACAACTTAGAGAAAAGATCACAATATAAGACAGGAAGCTTCTAACCCACAGGCCTAACTACTTATTTGCTAGGGGTGAGACACAAAGACTCTACCTCCCTAGGCCTCAGTTCCTTTGAGCAAAGAACACTTCTTTTGGCCCAGGAAAGCATTAGAAGAAATGAGATAAAACATGAAGCATTCCGGCTCCCTGAACGAAATAAGCCCAGAAAGCAATCACAGAATTGTGATTATTTCCAAAATGCTATGTTTAAAGCAAGGTTATAATGGTATAAAATTGGAAACAATCTAAATGTCCAAGAATGAGGGGTGGGTTAAAATTACGGCTTTTTTTTTTTTTTTTTTTGAGATGGAGTCTTGCTCTGTTCACCCAGGCTGGAGGAGTGCAGTGGCACAATCTCAGCTCACTGCAACCTCCGCCTCCTGGGTTCAAGTGATTCTCCTGCCTCAGCCTCCCAAGTAGCTGGGATTACAGGCATGCGCCACCACGCCCGGCTAATTTTTGTATTTGGTAGAGACGGAGTTTCACCATGTTGGCCAGGCTGGTCTAGAACTCCTGACCTCAAGTGACCTGCATGCCTCAGCCTCCCAAAGTGCTGGGATTGGAGGTGTGAGCCACTGCACCCAGCCAATTACGGCATATTTTTACAACACTAAATAAGGATATTCGTGAATATAACACACTCTAAAAAATTACAAAAGAACATGCAAAGAATATCAACATTTTTGTAAAAAGATATGTATAGATTTATGTGAACAGATACATACAGCTCTATTTTTTAGGAAAAAAGGTGTGTAGATATGTGTGCATATATGTGTGTGTATGTAAACCATACACACACTTACACACACAAATACACACACACACGGAAAGGTCTGCAAGGATCCACATCAAGGCAATCATAGTAACAATCCCTGGGTAGTAGGATTTGAGTATTTTTGTTTATATTTTTCTAATTTTCCAATATGAAAATGTGAATAAAATTATTTTTAATGGGCCAGTGCAGTGACTCATGCCTGTAATCCCAGCACTGTGGAAGGCCGAGGCGGGCGGATCATGAGGTCAGTAGTTCGAGACCAGTCTGTCCAACATAGTGAAACCCCGTCTCTACTAAAAATACAGAAAATTAGGTGGGTATGGTGGTGTGCGCCTGTAATCGCAGCTACTCGGGAGACTAAGGCAGGAGAATTGCGTGAACCCCGGAGGTGGAGGTTGCAGTGAGCTGAGACTGCACCACTGCACTCCAGCCCAGGCGACAATGCGAGGCTCTGTCTCAAAAAAAAAATATATAGAAAAAACATATATATTACACATATAAGCATACACAATATATAAATATGTATAAACATATATAAAAACATATTTTATATATATGTTTATATATATATATATATTTATAATCCCAACGTTTTGGGAGGCCAAGGTAGGAGCATAAAGGCCAGGAGTTTGAGATCAACCTGGGCAACACAGTGAGGCCCCATTTCTACAAAAAAGTGTAAAGAAATTAGCCAGGCATCGCGGTGCATGTCTACATTCCAGCTACTGAGACTGAGGCAGGAAGACTGCTTGAACCCAGGAGTCTGAGGTTACAGTGAGCTATGACTGTACCACTGCACTCCAGCCTGGGTGACAAAAAGAGATCCTGTCTAAATATATATATATATATATATATATATATATATATATATATATATATATATATATATATATGTTTTGTTTTGTTTTTAATGAAAAAAATGATTTCACTGTTCTTCTATAATTTCCTTCTTTTTTTTGGTTTGAGATGGAGTCTTGCTCTGTCACCCAGGCTGGAGTGCAGTGGTGTGATCTCAGCTCACTGCAGCCATAGCTTCCTGGGTTCAAGTGATTCTTCTGCCTTAGCCCCCCAAGTGGCTGGGATTACAGGTACCCACCCCCACGCCTGGATAATTTTTGTATTTTTAGTAGAGACAGGGTTTCACCATGTTGGCCAGGCTGTTTTCGAACTCCTGATCTCAAGTGATTCACCTGCCTTGGCCTCCCAAAGTGCTGGGATTACAGGCGTGAGCCAGCATGCCCCGACGCTTTTCTATAATTTCTACAACACTTAATGAATGAAATAATGAACACTTTTGTGTACGTCCTAAGAAGCAAACCGAATCTCAAAAACTAACAGCCTCTTCACTTCAAAGTAAAAAATACTACTCCCTTGCTTTTCCCTATCCCCTCAGTTCTGTTGGACTTACAGAGCTGACTGACGTTGGCATTTTCCAGCAGCGTCACATAGCCAGTGACATTGCTGGGGATGTGCACATCTCGGACTTCCTGAAGATCGCTGGCATTCCTCCCTACAGCTACTGTCACCTGCTGTGGCATGTAGCTCTGGTCAGTGGCAGCCACTGCAATGGACAGGTGCCTAAGCACAACATCTGGCTTCATTTTTAAACTGGAAAACACAAAAAGCAGAAATTACAAATGTTTATAGGAGTCAAGAACTGACAGGATCCAGAAGTCCCACCTCAAAGAGCTTACATTTGATATATCCAAAGACTGGTTTTCCTAACAGCAACTAACTTGAAATGCTGGCTATGAGTTTCAAAGTCCTTCTGACCTTGACCTTCCCACATTTTTTAAAGACCTTTCAGTTCAAGATTAATCTTACGATTCCTTTTAAGCTATTTGTACAGAAAGAACGAACAGTATGAACATTCTAACAAAATCCCTTTACCTGGCAAAAAAGCTAATTTTAAACTGCATACAAAAAAACTGAGTATACTCTCTCATCTATAAATTAGATGTCTAAAGGTCAAATGTGTCCTCTAAGAGAAAACAATATAATTATTTCTGGCACTTAATTCTACCAATTGGAATTAGCCTGTTTTCTGAGGGGAGAGGTGAAAATTTCAATAGCAGCTTCAGAGCTTCCAGAAATACCACTGTTTATTATCATTAGCTCCACTCCAGGATTCTTGACCACACTATTTCTTCTTCTAAAGTGACCAACTCAGTTACATACAGTGAATTTCAAAAATGTATATAGAAAGAGGCCAGGCACGGTGGCTCACGCCTGTAATCCCAGCACTTTGAGAAGTTGGGAGCTTGAGACCAGCCTGCCAACATGGTGAAACCCTGTCTCTACTAAAAATACAAAAATTAGCTGAGTGTGGTGGTGGGCAGCTTTAATCCCAGCCACCCAGGAGGCTGAGGCAGGAGAATCGCTTGAGCCTTGGAGATGGAGGTTGCAGTGAACAGAGATCATGCCACTGCACTCCAGCCTGGGCGTCAGAGCAAGGCTCCATCTCAAAAAAAAAAAAAGAAGTATAGAAAGGGACCGGGTGCAGTGGCTCACACCTATAAACCCAACACTTTGGGAGGCCAAGATAGGAGGATTAAGGCTAGGAGTTTGAGACAAGCCTGGGCAACGTAGTGAGGCCCCATTTCTACAAAAAAGTATAAAGAAATTAGCCAGGTATGGTGGTGCCTGCCTAAATCCCAGCGACTGAGACTGAGGCAGGAGGACTGCTTGAACCCAGGAGTCTGAGGTTACAGTGAGCTATGGCTGCACCACTGCACTCCAGCCTGGGAGACAAAAATAAGATCCTGTCTTAAAAAGAAAAAAAAAAGTAGAGAAAGGATATTTCAAAATACAGTCACATGTAAGTACTTATTCTTTGTGGTATTAATTTTCCTGAGAAACTAGTGAAAAAAGATATGAAATCAGTACTAATCTAAAATTAATCAAATGTTATTTCCTCCTTTAAAATATCAGGGAAATTATCTGTTAGGAATATATAAGCCAGGTTACATGATTTTACATGATTCATTTTACTTGATTCTTAAAGCATCTTCATAGCCACTTAAAATACAAAGAGTAGGCAGTTAAGAAGAAAACAATCCAAAATTTTAAAAAACAAAAAAGTATTATATACCACCCACCGAATCCAGTGTGAACAGGCACTGCCATCTGACTGCCAGTAGGATGAGGTTTCTCCATTTGTCATCTTGTCAATGTCTGCCGAGTTGGAGGATGTTTCTATATAAGCATAGCACTTTGCTACTGACTTGAGTTTATCCATCTCTGGACTTCTAGTTAGATCTCCAGGGCTTTCTGTAGGGGAAACCAGAGTTGATTATATGACATCCCTTTCACAAAGGGAAAAAAAAGAGTCATTTAAAATATCTAACAGAAATACGCTTGGTACTCTGGCCCTAGAAACACAAATCTTCCTTAAAATCTCCTTCCAGATCCTTTTGTAGTTCATCAGTGTCATGAGTGGGTTTTCACGCACATGTGTCAAATATGCCTCCCTCAAACTGTTACGTCATTGGCATATTACCTGACGTGAAGATCATATGTCACCTTCCAAAGAACCCAGTGGCCAAGGATTACCCCATCGTCTCTATCAGTGCAATTCTTTAATCACTGATATATTTGCAAAACCATGCCGAGAAGAAAATGGTAAATTACGGTTTGAATTTACATTTTTTAAATAATGAGTGACACTTTTTAAGCTGCTGGCTTCTGAGTACAGTCTGGTCCTGCCCTCTTCCATGTTCTTCTGAGTTAATTCATACATTTTCTATACATGATCAAATGTATATATAAACATACATAGAATAGCTAACATTTACTTGAGTGTTTACTATAACCCACGTGCTTTTTTTTGTTGAGATTTTTTTGAGAGGGTCTCACTCTGTTCCCAGGCTGGAGTGCAGTGGTGTGATCACAGCTCACCGCAGCCTCGATCTCCTAGGCTCAAGTGATCCTCCTGCCTCATTCTCCCAAGTAGCCGGGACTACAGGTGTGCACCACCACGCCTGGCTAATTTTTTTAAAAATTTTTTGGAGAGATGGGGTCATCCCTGTGTTGCCCAGGCTGGTGTCAAACTCCTGGCTTCAAGCGATCTTCCCACTTTGGCCTCCCAAAGTACTGGGATTATAGGCATCAACCACCGTGCCTGGCCATGTGCTTTTTATACTTTCCTTATGTATTAATTCATTTTAAAAATTAAGAAACTGGCCAGACTCAGTGGCTCACACCTGTAATCCCAGCACTTTAGGAGGCCAAGGCAGGCGGATCACTTGAGGTCAGGAGGTCGAGACCAGCCTGGCCAACATGGTGAAACCCCATCTCTACTAAAAATACAAAAACCAGCCAGGCACGGTGGCACGTGCCTGTAATCCCAGTTACTCAGGAGGCTAAAGCACAAGAATTGCTTAAACCTGGGAGGTGAAGGTTTCGGTGAGCCGGGATCACACCACTGCACACCAGCCTGGGAGACAGAGTAAGACTCCGTCGCAAATAAATAAATAAAATAAAATAAATAAACTAAGGAACACAGAGTTAAATAATTGCCCAAGGGCAGAGTTACTAAAAAATTTAGTCAATTGTATCTGTAATATGTTATAAAATTTATTTTTGTACCCACAATGTCACTTGTTTTTGACTCTGCTTATATTTTTTTTTGCTGTGAGCAAGGTTAATTTTCATACAGACTAATTTATTAATCTTTTCTTTCATAGATTCTGGGTTTCATGCCTTGCTTAGAAAGGCTGTTCCGTATTTTACAAGGTGGAACTATTTTCTTCCAATATTTTTAGCATTTTATTTTTAGTTGAACTTTTTGATCATCTGAAATTTATTTTAGTGAATGGAATGTATTAAGAATCTAGTTTCAGCTGGGTGGTGGCTCACACCTGTAATCCCAGCAATTTGGGAAGCCAAGGTGGGTGGATCATCTGAGGTCAGGAGTTTAAGACCAGTCTGACCAACACGGTGAAACCTGTCTCTACTAAAAATACAGAAATTAGCCGGGCGTGGTGGCACATGCCTGTAATCCCAGCTACTCAGGAGGCTGAGGTAGGAGAATCGCTCGAACCCAGGAGGTGGAGGCTGCAGAGATCACGCCATTGCACTTCAGCCTGGGCAACAAGAACGAAACTCAGTCTCCAAAAAAACATCTAAGTTTTATTTTTTCTTCAAATGGCTAACTAGGTGCCCTAACTCCATCTGTTGGAAGTTCACCTTTCCATCCTGATTTATAACACTGACTTTATCTGGTACTATGTTCTCACATGTATATCGGCGTCTATGCCTGGGCTCTGTTATGTTCCACAGACCTATTTATACACATCATGAACTTCTGTTGCCATCTCCAAGTGAGTCTGTGGTGGCTTCCTTCATTTATCCAGCAAATACTCATTGAATACCTACCATGCAACAGGCACAGTGCAGGAATGAGGAAGCAGACAAGACAGACAACACACAAGTGAATCAATAATGCTACAACTTCAGATAACAATAAGCGCGATTTCCACCATTAAACCTGCAAAGGTGACCCTGACCAGAAGGTGGGGTAGGGGAGGTGTTAATTAGATAAAGCGGAAAGGCATCCCTCAAAGTCACATCTGAGCAGAGAATTGAATGATGAGAAACCAGCTGTGTTAAGAAGAAAGGGAATGAGGAGAAAGATCACATTCTTACGTTACAAACTCATGACTCTGTATTTTCAGAAATGAAGGCAGGGAAAAGAATTGGCTCATTTTACCAACACAACAGTTAGAAGAAATGATCAGAGTATTTTCAGGAGAACCCCCACACACACATACCCTTTTCCTTTTGTACCAGCTGATCCAGAGACTCCTTCAGGACGGAAGACCGCATGGTGCACATGTTATTGCAGTGCTCCAGCATCGGGTAGGGCATCACCGCGCTGGAGAGCCGATTGCGGTGCAGGAAGCGCAGTATCATTGACGAGTGAATATCAAGGCCCTCCTTCGACTCTGAAAATATGTCTGTGAAACCTAAACAGATGAAATCCATTTTTGGTGTTTTGGGGAAGCCACAGTAGTTTCCACATCCCCTGCCTGGTGGCCTATCTGAATTGGCTAAATTAAAAGCAGTCATTAACAATCTTCATTGATATTTTCAGTTTTAATTGTTAAAAAATCTAAGTTTTAAAGAAATGAACCAGTAGCATTCTGAACTTAAGAATTAATTTAGCTGGGTGCAGTGGCTCACGCCTGTAATCCCAGCACTTTGGGAGGCCGAGGCGGACGGATGACCTGAGGTCAAGAGTTCGATATCAGCCTGGCCAACATGGTGAAACCCCATCTCTACTAAAAATACAAAAAAGTTAGCTGGGGGTGGTGGCAGGCGCCTGTAATCCCAGCTACTTGGGAGGCTGAGACAGGAGAATCGCTTGAACTCAGGGGGCGGAGGTTGCAGTGAGCCCAGATCACGCCACTGCACTCCAGCCTGGGCAACAACAGTGAAACTCCACCTCAAAAAAAAAAAAAAAAAAAAGAATTAATTTAATTTTAGTTGAAAAATATTTTAGAAGACTTAGAATAACGATTTTTTGTTTCAATCCAATCTTCAAAAATGTATAAGCACTTAAACACTAATAGACGTTTTTAAGGAAGTCTTGCGTATAGAATACAGGGTAGAAATAAAGTTCAGTGCATTAAGAGTAAAATCATAACTGCTTTTATACTAAGATACTAAGACAATGATAATGACAATACAACCACTGCCATTACCACAGTTTCCAACGGCATTTTACAACCAATAAGGTGCTTCCACATACATCATATCATTCCATCCTCACAGTAAGGTGAGGGGAGGCACAGAAGGTACAGCTATCCTTTTTAACAACTGAGGAAAATGAGGCTCAGGTGACACACCAAGATGTCAACTGGTAATAGGGAACCCCCCATGAGGCCATCGGTACAGGCTGGGAGAGAGAAGGCAGGGTGACGGGTGGGAACCATGGGCATTTGAGTCACTTCCTCATGTAATTTACTTGTGCCTTCAGGACCTGCTCAAGCCCAATCACATATATACCACTTTCATTCGATGATGGAATGCTGCTGTGCACACCCAACTTTAGGCTGGATGGGTCAGAAAGCACCCAGTTCATGACAGGCAGTTCAGGTCACACGGTAAATTGCTGACCCATAGTCCAATGTTCAGTTTCTACCAAGGCCCGGAGCTGTCTCTCAAAAGAAGAGTAGTTATCTGCAAAAGATAGTAGGGCCTTGCTCCAAAATCTTAAAGGCCTCTGCTGTGATTCACCTATGGGGGTCTGCCAAAGGCTCCAAACAGCATCCCTGTCTGCCACTGACACCTCAAGCACCATCAGATCTGCTGAGTCATATGACCCAAGCGGCAGAGCAGCTTGCACAGCAGCCTGGACCTGTTTCAGAGCTACCTTCTGTCCTGGACCCCTCTCAAAACTGGCAGCCTTTCGGGTCACTGGATAAATGGGCCAGAGCAACACACCCAAATGAGGAATGCACTGCCTCCAAAATCCAAGTTGGTCCACTAGGTGATGTACCTCTTTCTTGGTTGTAGGAGGGGCGAAATACAGCAACTTATCCTTTATCTTAGAAAGAATATCTTCACAGCCCCACATCACTGAACCCCTAAAAATTTCACTGAGGTAGAAGGTACCTGAATTTATTTCAGACTTATTTCCCACCCCCTGGCACACAAACGTCTCACCAATAAGTCCAGTGTGTTTGCTACTTCTCACTCACTGAGTCCAATCTGCACAATGTCATCAGTGTCATGTACCAGTGTGATATCTTGTGGAAGGGAAAGTGATCAAGATCTCTGCAAACAATATTATGACGTGAAGCTGAAGAGTTGATGTACCTGAGGTAAGACAGTGAGGGTATATTGCTGGCCTTGTCAGCTGAAGGCAAATTGCTTCTGGTGGGCCTTATGGACAGGAATGGAGAAAAGGGCATTTGCCAAATCAATGGCTGCATACCAAGTATCAGGAGATGTGTTAATTTGCTCAAGCAATGAAACCACATCTGGTACAGCAGCTACAATCGGAGTCACCACTTGGTTAAGCTTACGATAATCCACTGACATCCTCCAATATTCATCCGTCTTCTGCACCGGCCAAATATGAGAGTTGAATGGGAACATGGTGGGAATCACCACCTTTGCATCTTTCAAGTTCTTGATGGTGGCACCAATGTCTGCAATCCCTCCAGGAGTGCGATATTGTTTCTGATTTACTATTTTTCTAGGTAGAGCCAGCTCTGATGGCTTCCATTTGGCCTTTCCCACCGGAACAGCTCTCACCCTACTGGTCAGGAAGCCAACATGGGGATTCTGCCAGATGCTAAGTATGTCTATTCCAGTTATCCACTGCGTCCCGTTCTTTCCCAATCAATGCCCTCATTTTAAAAGTAGACACCTGCTGAGACTGAGCATGCACCTTTCATTGGAGGTCAGCCACTCACATGACATGAGCTTGTGTCTGATTTTCCACAATTTCAGCCCTTTGTCTAAAGGAGGTAAGACTCTCACCCAGGGCAATCTTGGAAGATGTGAGGCTAAGTAAGCATTTCTGGAGACAGAATCCCTGAGCTCATCCTCTTCTTTCATCACTTTGTCCAGCAAACTTAGGAGCACCAACCAACTTCATTATAGTCCTTGGTTCTCCATATATGGCCAAAGGTATCATGTATAGAGTCACTAAACTCCTTGATTCTCAAGAGAGGTGAATCGGGAATATCAAGTGCATTTATTCTGCACAACTCTCTTAACAGTTCACACCAAGGACTAACAGCATTCTCCATACTATTAGAGGTAGACTCCTTAGCATTTTTGGGTCTAATCAAATTAAACAGCCAACTCCCAAAACTACAAAACCAACTAAAGGAATCCATCCTTAAAATTCTGTTCCTCAAAGACCAGGCGCAGTAGCTCATGCCTGTAATCCCAGCACTTTTGGGAGGCCAAGGCGGGCAGATCACGAGGTCAGGAGTTCCAAGAGCAGCCTGGCCAACATGATGAAACCCCATCTCCACTAAAAATACAAAAATTATCTGGGCGCGGTGGCGGGTGCCTGTAATTCCAGCTACTCGGGAGGCTGAGGCAGGAGAATTGCTTGAATCCGGGAGGCAGAAGTTGCAGCGAGCCGAGACTGCGCCACTGCACTCCACCATGGGTGACAGAGCAAGATTCCGTCTCAGAAAAAAAAAAAAAATGTTCCTTTAGAACCCCTTCTGGTATCAAAATCTGTATGAGTCAGTGTTCTCCAGAGGGACAGAAATAATAGGATATATGTATATATAAAAGGGAGTTTATTAAGGAGAATTGGCTCACACAATCACAAGGCAAAGTCCCATGACAGGCCGTCTGAAAGCTGGGGAAGAAAGAAGCCAGGAGTGGCTCAGTCTTTTTCTTAGCTGACTCCACAGTAATACCTGAGCTTCATATTTAGGATACTGCTGATGCTGCACTGTTTTGCTCAAAACCTATGTGAGAAAACAGATTTGGCACAGTGGCTCATGCCTGTAATCCCCACATTTCAGGAGGCCAAGGTAGGTGGAATGCCCGAGCTCAGGAGTTCAAGACCAGACTGGGCAACATGGCAAAACGTTGTATCTATGTTAAAAACAAAACAAAAACTTGTTCCTATGATGGAAAAAGTGTTTTCATATGCTGAAACATTTGGTAAATTAATTTAGCCTTCAGTAAATGAATTCCAAGCCTAATGAATTTGGAAAAGGTACTGTTCTCTTTTCTTAAACGCTTAAGCACCAACACCATGAGATACAAAAGGAACTAGTTTTAGTGCAGACGAAGGTTAGAAACTAAAAATTCCCACCACCAAAGCAACTTCAGCTTACAAAGGTTCATTCCAAGACTGATGAATTGGGTGCTGATGAAAAGTTTTGAGTAGGAAGTCCTAAGTCATGAGCCTGCTATGTAAGTGCCTTGAGATTTGGACCCTGATGCTTTCTCAATCTCATCCCCCATTTCAGCAGTTGCCCAGCACAACAGTACACTACGAATTATCTGTTGGTGGATTCCCTGGTCTCAATCCCTCTGCTTTCCTCCCCAAAACTGTCTGAGGTGTCCAAATAAAGCTCCTGATGCTATCCACATGCTGGTAATGCAAAAGTGGAGTAGTATGTAAACGCTAAGATAAAAGCTAGCTAAAGATAATTCAGGCCGGGTGCAGTGGCTCACGCCTGTAATCCCAACACTTTGGGAGGCCAAGACAGGTGGATCACTTGAGGTCAGGAGTTCAAGACCAGCCTCTGGCCAATATGGTGAAACCCCATCTCTACTAAAAACATAAAAATTAGCCGGACGTGGTGGCAGTTGCCTGTGCTCCCAGCTACTCGGGAGGCTGAGGCACAACAATCACTTGAACCCAGGAGGTGGAGGCTGCAGTGAATGGAGATCCCACTGCACTCCAGCCTGGGTGACAGAGCAAGACTCTGTCTCAAAAGAAAAATAATAATAATTTTAATTGCCATGAGACTAGGGAAAAAGTTAACATGTATAACATTACATAATTAAAGACAACCTGAAGGAGAATGGAGATACACATTTTTTTTTTTTTTGAGACAGGGTCTCGCTCTATCACAGGGATGGAGTACAGTGGCGTGATCACGGCTCACTGCAGCCTCAACCTCCTGGTCTCAAGCAATCCTCCTGCCTCAGTATCCCGAGTAGCTGGGACCAATGGTGCACACAACCATGACCTGCTAATTTTTTTCGTAAGAGATGGGGTCTCACTATGCTGCCCTGGCTGGTCTCAACTCGTGGCCTCAAGCAATCCTTCCACTTCGGCTTCCCAAAGTGCTGAGATTACAGGCATGAGCCACCATGTCTGGCTGGAAATATACATTCTTCATTAATGTATGGAAACTATCCTTCCCTAGCTCAATACGTCACTCAGCAGTGAGTAAGCTAGAGGGTCAAGAGCAATCAGATTTACATTTATGTGTCTATCAAATCTATTTTGCCTCCATTGCTGCCCTAGTGACCCTAAGTATTATGACACCAAGTGCACAGAGCAGGAAAAACGCTGAGGTAAAGTAAACCAAGACCGAAAGGAAAATGTACAAAGTTTCTTTCTCTTTCAAACACAATTGTCTTCTCACTAGAAAAAACAAATGTTAATTTTATTATGATTCTGTCTTTACGTGTAAGTCTGAGCTCCCCCCCAAAAAAATACAAAAACACAGGCCATGTCTTTTCTTTTTTTTTTTTTCCAGACGGAGTTTCGCTCTTGTTGCCCAGGCTGGAGTGCAATGGTGCGATCTCAGCTCACTGCAACCACCACCTCCCAGGGTTCAAGTGATTCTCCTGCCTTAGCCTCCCGAATAGCTGGGATTACAGGCATGCACCAACATGCCCAGCTAATTTTTGTATTTTTAGTAGAGACGGAGTTTCTCCATGTTGGTCAGGCTGGTTTTGAACTCCCGACCTCAGGTCGGGAACTCCGCCTACCTCGGCCTCCCCAAGTGCTGGGATTACAGGCGTGAGCCACTGTGCCCCGCCGGCATTGCTTAATTTTAAGCTATTTTTATTCTTACTTAAATTTCTGAATATAGTAGTCCTCCCTTATCCACAATTTCAGTTACCTGTGGTCAATAAAGACGCCAAAATAGGTGAGTATGGTACAGATACTGTGAGACAGAAAGAGAAAGAAAGAGGAGCCACATTCACCTAATTTTTATTTTACTATATTGTTATAATCATTCTATTTTATTGTCAGCTATTGTTATTGACCTCTTCCTTTTTTTTTTTTTTGGAGATGGAGTCTCGCTTTGTTGCCCTGGCTGGAGAGCAGTGGTGCGATCTCGGCTCACTGCAAGCTCCGCCTCCCAGGTTAACGCCATTCTCCTGCCTCAGCCTCCCGAGTAGCTGGGACTACGGGCACCCGCCACCATGCCCGGATAATTTTTTTGTATTTTCAGTAGAGACGGGGTTTCACTGTGTTAGCCAGAATGATCTCGATCTCCTGACCTCGTGATCCGCCCGCCTCGGCCTCCCAAAGTGCTGGGATTACAGGCGTAAGCCACCGCGCCCGGCCTGACCTCTTCTTATTATGCCTAATTTATACATTAGAATTTATCATAACCATATATATATATATATATATATATATATATATATATATATATCAGAAAAATATATAGTATATATAGGGTTGGGTACTATCCTTGGTTTCAGGCACCCACTGGGGGTGCTGGAACATCTCCCGCATGGGTAAGGAGGGAATACTGTAATAGCTTTCTTAAAAAACCACTAAGTGCTTACCACATGCCAAAAAAAATGACGCAAATGTGAGGACAGAGCAGAAATAAGACAGAAGGTCCCTGCCCTCGTGGAACTATAGTACATGAGTGAAGACAAACACTTTACTAATAATTGAATAATGAATTGATCAATTACAATGGTAATATGTTGCAAAAAAGAATGCAGGATGCTAAGAGAATGAACAGTGAAGGCCAAGGAGGGCTTCTGTAGTGAAATGAAGAGATCCAATAAGGAAAGCGGCCACGTGACAAGGGTTCATGTTATAAAACGGTAGAACTGCTTAGCCACCACCGTACTGGGGATGAAAGAGATGACTAAAGGAAATGCTAATTCAGATCGGGAGCCTAATGAACACTGTTGGGGGAGTTTACTGCATGTGGCCACAATTTTGCCTAATTTCAATCAGTAGTATAGCAAAGTTCACTTTGGTTCTAAGACAGCACCTAGATGGAAGCCTCACCTGGAACCAGAGAGCAGGCCTGTAGTTGTCTGATGATGTGGCTCAGCTCCCCCTGAAGATTAGCTCCACTGGAATTCTTGAGGGCCTCCAACATGTTCTCGGCATCAACTGTCCCATCACCCTCAGCATCAAACTGGGCAAAGGCCTACAAGATAAGAGATGCAAGAAAATCAGGGCTGTTTCAAGTAAACGAGGGCAGTTTCAAGTTTCTTTTATTTAAAATTCTCGAGACCGGTGATTTATTTATTTTTGGTTGCAGAGAGAAGAGTCCATATGTATCAACCAAAGATAAATTTAGAACAGGAACTCACTGCGCTTTGTAGGATGTATGTATGCAAGTACACATCTTATTTGTATTCCAATCTATATTCCAAGAGAGTAACCATTAAGTAATCCAAGAGAGTAATTATGTAGTAAGTCTCCTCCCCACTAAATAATTTCAGAAGGAAGCAGCCACTGTAAAGTTTTTCAACTGGTTGCAAAGTGCCAGAATATAAAGAATTGGCTTAGAATAGCACCTCGACTTTAGCTGGGCTTTTTCTTTTCCCTTTTTGAGACACAGTTTCTTTCTTGTCGCCCAGGCCGGAGTGCAGTGGTGCGACCTCAGGTCAGTGCAACCTCCGCCTCCCGGGTTCAAGTGATTCTCCTGCCTCAGCCTCCTGAGTAGCTGGGACTACAGGCGCCTGCCACAACGCCAAGCTGATTTTTTTTTTTTTTTTTTTTGTATTTTCAGTAGAGATGGGGTTTCTCCATGTTGGCCAGGCTGGTCTCAAACTCCTGACCTCAGGTGATCCGCCCACCTCAGCCTCCCAAAGTGCTGGGATTACAGGTGTGGGCCACCGCGTCTGCCTGGGCTTTTTCAACACTCTTTGGACACAAGAGCTAACTTGGTTTATCTGTTTCACAGCCCTGTTTTCACTAACCTTTAATTGTAATCTAGCTTGTCTCTTGCCCATGTTGGGCCATCTGGGGAACCTGGGACAGTAGAGATTTGGTTTAAATCTGCTCTATCACTACTCTGCTATGTGACCTTACCTAAGTTTCTTTACCTCCATAAGCCACAGCTTCTTGATCTGAAAGATGCAGCGAATATTGTCAACCTCACAGGCTGCTGCCTGGATTAAGTAACATTTGAACAGAGCCCAGTACAGTGAAAAGCACATCGGCCCTGTAGTGTTCCCCTTCTCCTTTCTAACCTCACCCTCTGGTGTCCCTGACCCCCTTCCCTTACATCCTACAAGACTTACCTCACTTAGCAACTGCCCTCTCTCCCCAGATTTCAAACCCTTCCTCAACAATGCCTTCTGCCCTCCTGCTGATACACTCACTCACACATCGCTCTCACCATGCAATACTTCAGGAGTCTTTAAGCCTCCTTTCCAAGTAACCCTCTCTCTTTCTTAAAACTCCTGCCCCTTGTTCTTATTTCTCTCCTCCATGAAATAGGAAAACAACCTACTGAGGTTTCATGACTAACATAAATACCCCTATTTCCATCATAGACCTCTGAACAATGCAGTGTTTAAGAGGAACAAATGCAAATTCCTGTATTTGAGTCCAAAAACCATGGGCATAAATGCAGTAATGGGGACAGTCAGCTTAGAAGCAGCATGGAAAAGATCACAGCATTCTTTTTGCCTCTGTTCAACCTGGCAAGATTATCCAAAAAGTTAATAGGATCAAAGACTTCACTAATCAAGGTATAACATTCAAAAGGAGAGCAGGTATTATCTTTTTCTACTCTGACTAGACCCAATCAAGAAAGGTGAGTTTGGTTTTGAAGCTACACACCAAAAAGAAATGAATGGAAGAGATCAGAGGACAGAAACCATGACAGAAAGAAGACTAGAAACTGTGCCCTGTTGGGGGAATCTTAAGTGCAGAGAAAAGAGGCCTGGGAGTCACACAGTCCTGATGAGCTATAATGGGAAGGAGGGAAGCAGCAGTTAAAATTAATGTCATTGGATAGAAGACAGAGGGAAATGCTCATGATAAAAGTGGACCTGTCTGTTGTCATGGGCATAAAGATGGGTTAGGAGGCCGGGCGCGGTGGTTCACACCTGTAATCCCAGCACTTTGGGAGGCCGAGGTGGGTGAATCATGAGGTCAGGAGTTCAAGACCAGCCTGGCAAAGATGGTGAAACCCCGTCTCTACTAAAAATACAAAAAATTAGCCAGGCATGGTGGCAGGCACCTGTAATCCCAGCTACTTGGGAGGCTGAGGCAGAGAATTGCTTGAACCCAGGAGGCAGAGGCTGCAGTGCGCTGAGATCACACACTGCACTCCAGCCTGGGTGACAGAGAGCAAGACTCCGTCTCAAAAAAAAAAAAAAAAAAAAGAGTTAGGAGGCTCTGGGAAAAAATGCCTACACCCTATCCCTCAAGGCTTCAGAGCAGCGTCTGGACAACCAGTCATCGGGAGTACTCATAGTTCAAAAAAGTCATACTAAACAAACGCATTTACCTCTGTTCCCTCCCAAAACCCACTAAGACAATATTATCAAGAGATCTGGGGTGTGTGTGTTTTAAGCACACAGACAAAGAATACAAGATGCAACAGCTACAAAATTTTGGAAGCTTGGAAACAGATGGATAAGTAGTACCTGGTTGGTTGATCCAAGAAGGTGGAATTCTAATCTGGGTAGGCAAGGCTGAGAAGGAAGCTGTCCCATGCTGCAGGCCCAAAAAGACTTAGGGGCTGGTAATAACAGGTGCTGTGGAAAGTGGATGTAAGTGGTAAAAAGCCTATTTTAAAAAGCAGAACTGGGCCAGGTGTGCTGGCTCATGTCTATAATTCCAGCACCTTGGGAGGCCAAAGTGCCTCCCAAAAGGGTGGATCACTTCAGGCCAGGAGTTCAAGACCAGCCTGGCCAAGCCAGCAAAACTCCGTATCTACTAAAACTACAAAACATTAGCTGGGCATCATGGCACACACCTGTAATTCCAGCTACTCCAGAGGCTGAGGCACGAGAATCACTTGAACCCAGGAGGTGGAGGTTGCAGTGAGCCAAAATTATAACACTGCACTCCAGCCTGGGTGCTAGAGCGAGAGTCTGTCTCAACAACAAACACAAAACAAAACAAAAAGCAGAACTGACTGGATTTTTTTTTTTTTTTTGAGAAAACAATCTTGCTCTGTCACCAAGGTTGGAGTGCAGTAGTGCGATCAGCTCACTGTAACCTCAAACTCCTGGGCTCAAGAGATGCTCCTGCCTCAGCCTCCCAAGTAGCTGGGACTACAGGCGTTTCACACCTGGCTGATCCTTTAATTTTTCTGTAGAGAGGGGGTCTCACACTTTGCTGCCTAGGCTGGTCTCAAACTTCTGCCTTCAAGAGATTTTCCCACCTCGGCCTCCCAAAGAGTTGAGATTATAGGCAAGTTACGATGCCCAGCTCTAAATGATCTTAAGGAGAAACTGGACTTTGTGTTTTGCTTTGAGGAGAAAAGGGCGACAGCAGTGTTGCATGTGTTTTTTAAAGTGTTATTTTGTAGAGATACATAATGAAATATTTATGGATGAAATGATATGATGTCAAGATTCACTTCAAAATAATATGGATAGGGGAA